>NC_000013.11:74317196-74468712 GCF_000001405.40 Homo sapiens
ATGGAAAAAGTAGTCTATAATATAATGGCTAATTAGATGAGATACAAATTAGGCTTATGACATTTAGAAACCTGCACAATTATGGCTTTGTAATTACTGACTATGGGTAGCACATTGAATCCTATAAAAGCCAAAACACCAAGCTGGAGAGTGTGTTTTCCTGCTAGAAATATATCCCATGGTTCCCTTTTTGGTAATTGCCATACTCAATTTTATGATATCAAGACTAATTTGATATTTGATTTACTATTCTATCTGTGTATCCATGTGTGGTAATACAGACACTTGACTTTCATCAGAAATTTTTTATTATATCCTATATAACATTAAATATGATGCCAAGCTGTAGTTTCTCCTTCCTAATGTAATTCTATAAAGTGACTAAGGTTCTGTGATAGTTGCTTCAGTTGCTTTGATATTGGTGATGTGGAATTACGAGTTTGACTCCCCCAAAAGAGTACATCTATTTGGAATATGTGCGATTCTAAAAAGTTCAAGATGAGAGAAAGACTGTATGTCAAGTTATGGAAGACAGTTTTCATCATAATAATTTAATTATCAAAGATAATCTTATTATGCACAAGAATATTTGCTTAGAAGGATCACAGAGTGATGTGAAGGCAAAATATCTATTTAGAAAATACAAATCTTTACATGGTCTGTGATATGTTAACTTATTTTTTACCTGATTTAGTATAAATGGAAAAAAATGGACATTTACTGAATACCTACTATGAGCTAGATATTATACTGAGTGCTGTATATGCATTAGTGTAGTTAATGCCCTCTTCAACATTGGTAGGCTAAAAGTCAATGCAACTCGACGCTGGTCAAGGAGACAGGATTTACTCAGGTCTGTTTTGTGAAAGCTACATGGTAATGCCACTCAATTTAAATACACCAGAAGCCACTTTAAAGATCATTAAGTTAGTTAAAAGCTATAAGAAAAATGAATGCTTCCTTTTTTATTGCGTATCTTAGAATATTTTCAGTGGTAATGATTAGAAGCTGAATACAGCTAACTGGTTGAATGTATATAATTTGCTGCTTCGTACGGAGCATGTTTCATCTCATGACTTCCCAAACTAATTGCAATACTAGATTTATCTATTAATTTCCAACAAAAGTAATTATAATTATGGTGAGCGTCTGTAAATTTCAACTTCCTTAGCCCTAAAGGAGCTGGTCCCAAATATATAAAGCATTTAATATCCACTACCATCTCAGGCACTGGAAATTCTTCAATCTCTGATTCTCTTGATTTTCTTTAAGCTCTCTATTAGATCACACAGACAACTCAGGATCTTTTTTTTTCCCCATGGTCACTAGGAACCTGTTTTGCTTTTTAAAAATCTTTCATTTCCAGTTATCTCTTTTTAGTTTCATAATTTCACAATTAACTTATTACAACTAATACAACATATGATTCTAGATATGGTTTTCTGAATTATGAATATGAATTCATTGATGTGTAAGCCTCTTTCTGTTGCCTCAAGCCTAAATTTATTGTATTTCATTGTATGTTCATCAATAAGTTTCTCTTTTTTAGCTGTCTTTATTGATATTGATTGATTCATTTATTTAGCACACAACTATTGAGTGGTAGTTGTGTGTAAGGCTCTAATCTGGATGTTCTAGAAGAAATAAATATGACTGTTAACTGATGCTTTCCTTCAAAAAGACTAGTTACTATGCAATGGGCAACATAAGCATAGGAAGAACAAACCAGAATTAGATTAAGCTATGTGTTATGGGAGAAATGAGTGATTCACTTTTCATCAAATGAAGAAATCATATCATTTCTTGGTTCAAAACATTCAGTGATTCCCATTCTCCTTAGTCTTACACAATCTGTATCCAACACTCACTTATTCAATTAGAATTTCATTTTAAACATTTCAGTCATACCTAAACATTAGCCTTTGGTGCTTAATGTCTCCCAAATATATTCTTTATAATATTGCTTAAATTACTTCCTTCAGAAAGTGTTCCTTGACCAGACCCCATGTACAATGCTTTCTTCTTCTTTGCAATCTGTACTATTAGTTTAGTGTCCATTTAATACACTGGATTGATAATATATATTTTTTTGAGTACATGAGTGCAGTTTGTTTTTCCAGTTTTGAATTCAAATTCCCTAGGAGAGATCATGTCTTGTGCTTTTCTGAATTTTGTATAGTACCCCATGTTATATATAAAAAGGGTCCAATAAATGTTTGTTGACTGATTTATATAGTCTTACAGATCAAAGAACATTTTTGTCAACTTAAAAAAAACACTTGCTTTGAGGCTCCTTGCAGATGTAGTTTCTGAGGATTATTGCATTGCTAAAGTTAAAATGCAGTCATATCTACTATAAAAAGTTAACATATGCATTTTTTTGTAATTTGGCCATAACACTTTTCTTGTAAGATCAAATATTCATTGTTGAGATGTTGTCACTGAAAATAAGAAATAAAATTAGACTTACATCAATTTACCATTAAATACCTAATCAACATGTGAAAATAACATGGGTAGTAAAAAAAAAAAACTAAATAAATATGTATTCATTTAAAAATGGCATACATATTGATACTTGCACAAATCACAAGGATACAGCTTGATGAGCAACCACCCTACAGATCAAGAAATAGAATATTATGAACACATTAAAAGTTCCCTCCTAGTATTTGCTATTGCTACACAGTTTTCCTAAAGGTTTTTTCCAATTTGCAATCTTACCAGTAGTACGCAAGATTTCCAGTTCTTCCATATCTTCACGATCACTAGTTTTGTCCATCTTCTTAATTTTAGCTATTCTAAATTGGCATAATTTAGAATGTATAGTATTGTTTTATTTTGCATATCCTTCATGACAAATGAGAATAACATGTTTTTCTATATTAATTGGCAATTAGTTTATGCTCTTTTATGAAATGGCTTAGACTTTTACCCACTTTTCACTTGAGGATGTCATTCTATGTTTGGCATAGGTGATACTTATTGTATAAGCATTTCAGATGATATCCCCTCCCAGTGTATCTAACCTCTTAAATCTCTTAAAGATTTCTTTTGATAAACAGAATGTATTAATTTTAATTTATGATTAATACTTTTTATGTTTTCTTTGGGAAATCATTTTCAGTTGAAAAGTCTTGAAGATAGTCTCTTACGTTACTTTCTTGAAACCTTATTGTTTCACCATTCACATTTAAATCAACACTGTATCTGGAATTAACTTTTGTTTATGTTGTTTGCTAGTAAGGAGTCAGCATTCATTTGACTCCATATAATTATCAGATGACTCAGCATTATTATTGAAAAACCTGCCCTTTTCCCACTATTTTGAAGTATCACTTTTGTTGTAAGTCAAGTGTCCTTGTATGTGACTTCTCTTTCATTCTGTTTCTGAACTTTCTCTTCTGGACGTTTTGCATTCTTATACCAATGCTTATACCAAAGCTTAATTACTATAGCTTTGCTAGAAACCTTGTAAGTCTTCCACCTTTGTTCTTCTTTAAGGTTGTCTTAGTTATTCTTTGTCATTTAGAAAAAGTTTGTATATTTTTATAAAATATAATTTGGCACTTTTGGGGAGGAAGGTTTACATTGGCTCTTTAGAGCAATTTGGAGAAATTGATATTGAATCTTCCAGATAATGAACATGATATATCCCTCTATGTGTTTAGATGTCCTTTTTTTCTTCTCAAAAATGTTATGTAGTATTTGTGTAGAGAGTGTATTAATTTTTAAAATTAGATTTATTAGGTGTTTTGTATTTTATACTGCTATTGTAAATGTGTCATTTCTTAAATTTATTTTCTTCATATTTGTTGATGGTATGTTGCTGTTAGGGTTCTTCAGAAAACAGAACCAATTATATATATAGATATAGATATAGATATAGATATAGATAGATAGATATAGATATATGCCCACACATACGTATATATACAGTCACACATATATACTCAAATATACATATGAATATATATTATATATGTGTAAACTTATAATACATATATTCATACTCGTATACATAAGAACATATGTATTATAAATGTACACATATATAATAGATATATTCATACTCATATATATGAATATATATTATATATGTATATTTAAATATATATGTGTGGGTATGTATATGGGCAAGTTAGCTACACTCTCTGTGCCTTAGTTTTTTCCTATATAAAATAAAGATGACTACAGCACCTAACTTTTAAGGTTGCTGTATATGCGTATAAGTAAGCATATGTAAAGTGTTCACACAAGGTATATACATATACACATACATGTACACATATGTATACATACAACACACACGTATACATACATATACACATGTCTACACATATGTATACATACATATACACACATATGCACATGTATACATATATACACATATATATATACACATGGATATACACACACATATATACCCAGATATAGGTGTGTATATGAATATATACATAGGTGTATATATATGCATGTATATGTGTGTATATAGATTCTATTGTTTCTGTCCTCTCTATTATTCATACACACACACATGAGGGAGAGAGAGAGAAATCTGTTATGAGGAATTGGCTTATGTGCTTGTGGAGGCTGAGAAGTCATGATCTGCCACATCATGCATGCTGGTGAAAGCCAAGGGTGTAACTCAGTCTGAGTCTGAAGGCTGGAGAAGCAGCAGAGCTAATGGTGTAAGTCCCAGGCCATGCGCAGGGGAAGATGAGGGGAGATGTCCCACTTCAAGCAGTGAGACAGGGGGAAAAAAAGGAGAGGAGGAGGATTCCTCTGTCCTCTGCCTTTTGTCCTCTTCAGGCTCTCCATGGGTTGGGTGATGCACTCACACTGGGGAGGGGATTCTACTTTACTGAGTTCTCCGATTCAAAGGCTAATCTCATCCCAAAACACCCCCCGCACACATTCAGAAATAATGTTGAAACAGATATCTGGGCATCCTATGACTTACTCAAGTTGACACATGAAATTAGCCACCTCATATTAAACATAAAATTGATTTGAAACATAATATTGACCTTGTATCTAGTGACCTTGCTAAATGCCATTATTAATTCCAATAGAATGCTAGTGGTTAGAAGCCAGGACAATGAGAAAGGCAAAATACATGTGAGGATGGAGTTGCCTGAGGATTCTAGGGGTAGAAAACTTGGCTACCCAACGTAAAACATGAAAGGAGAGATCCGAAGTAAAAAACTAATCAGAAATCTAAAAAAGAAAGTTTAGATGGGTTGGAACAAAGTCTTAAAGTGGGCACGTTTTAGAGTTGGATGAATTTCGTTTCATAAATTAAGACCCAATCAATTTATGTAAAAAATATTGTAGTTGAAAAGCTTTGACAGAGCTAGAACTTAAAAATGTACTTTCTTGGAAGTCAGACAGAATAATAGCCAAGCAGAAAGGGTTATTCCAACTATCTTGAATCACATTACATCTCATATGGTATAACCTGATCTCCATATAACCTATGTCTCTGACAACATGTACGTCAGATTACTTAGATTACAGTAATAGAATTAATGGAGGCCAGCTTTATTATGTTTTCTCTTGTGTCAGATATTTTGAATCAATCTTCATAAATGTATCTATTCCTTTAACACACTCAAAAAACCTTCAAGATAGATGCAATTATTTTAATCTTGTAAACGCAATGTATTTGTAGGAGATCCTTGGTCCTAAGAAAGAGAAATCTTCTTTGAAAGAGTTTAAACAAAAAGCTTATTTTTTTGGAAGCACTTGTTTACTGAGTTATCTCAGAATAACCCAGGTGTGAAACTGCAGTTGACCCTTGCAGACAACTAGTTAGAATTAAGTATCACATGTCTACACAAAAACATGTACAGAAATGATCATAGCAAATGTATTCATGGTATCTACAAACTGGAGTTAATCCAAATGTTTATCAATAAGTATATGGATAAATAAATAATGTTATAACCACAAAATGAAATCCTACTCAGCAATGAAAAGGAATAAATTACTAAAAAATAAAAAAGAATTAGGTCTCAAAAGTCACCAAGATATTGTCTCTCAGCTCTGCTCTGCTTGTGAGGTTAATTTCTTTGTCTCTCTTTCTCTACCCCCACCCTCTCTCCTTCTTTTTAGTGTTTTCCCACTGGCTGTCTCTACATCAGGGGTCACCAGCCCTCAGGCCGTGGACTGGTACTAGTCTCTGGCGGGTTAGGAATTGGGCCGCACAGCAGGAGGTGAGCAGCAGTCCAGCAAGTATCACCACCTGAGCTCCGCCTCCTGTCAGATCAGTGGAGGCATTAGATTCTCATAGGAGTGCAAGCAGACCCTATTGTGAATTGCACATAGTCTAGGTTTCATGCTCCTTATGAGAATCTAATGCCTTGTGATCTGAGGTGGAATAGTTTCATCCTGAAACCATCCCCACCCCCACACTGTCTGTGGGAAAATCACCTTCCACAAAACCGGTCCCTGGTGCCAAAAAGGTTGTGGACTGCTGCTCTACATAATGGGAAATATTGTTGCTAATGACTGGAATTTTACCTCTTTCATGATCAACTACCATTCTTTTGGTCCTAACTTGAAAAATCCCCAGGAAGAGATTCATCAGCTCCAGTTTGGCCAGGTGCCTGCAGACAACCTATGGAATGGTCATATAATATTATGTTGAACTATATGAAATTGCCATTACATATTCTATTGCTAAAAAGTGTCAATTTCTTAATTTAATCATAATAGCCAAAATTAATAACAATAGTTGAATGTTTACTATGTGCCAAGCATTGTTTTAAGCGCTTTACATATGTTTACTCATATGCATTTACAACAACCTTAAAAGTTAGGTGCTGTAGTCATCTTCATTTTATATTGGCGAAAACTAAGGTGCAGAGCGTGTAGCTAACTTGTCCATCATCACATAGTAGTAAGTGTTAGAGCCAGAATTCTAACCCAGGCAGTCTGGTTTCAGAGTCTACTACATTACAAGATAGTATCTGAAGGAATTGTATAGAATTGGGGGAGAATATTCACTCATAGGCATGACATTTACTTTGGTGGGGACTCTTTGCTGATTTTATTCTGTGGATTGTTGCATTGCCAAGGGTGTATAGGTCCTTAGAGTTGGTCATGGTGTTAATTTAATATACTCTAAGAATTATGACAAGATGGGGCTGCAGAGCTGAAGCCTTTCTTTCAATAAACGTCCAAGGTGCCATGGCCAGAGGACTATGGTGAAAGCTGATCTGGACATTAAAGTTCAGGGTTTATTAGTTAGATAAGGCAAGATTTTTATGGGCCAAGTGCTGTTTAACTTCTCTGTTGATGTAGTGGCTCTCTCAGTGTGGGGTCTGTAATTGAGTCTTTTATGGTGAACAATTTGGGGATTCTCAGTATAAACTTACCACTATAATGATCTTTTCTTGCACTGGATTGTATTAGATGTAGATGCTCTGCAATAAGGTGCTACTTTTTCTAAGACTAACAATGAAAAACACATAATAGAGGTTCTTATGTTCCAGACTCTGTCCTAAAATCTTTATATCTGTTAAATAATTTTATCTTTACAGGAACACATGAAAATATTAGGAAAGATACTTGGTAAAATGCACATCTATAGCAAGCATAGAGTAGGGGAGAATAAGGTATCCCAGACAATCTTGGTCTACAGTTCAAGCTCCTATCTGTTCTATGATAATAGTACAATAATTATAATAATAAACACTATTCAAACATTTAGAAACATAATCTCATGCATTAGAGAAATGAAGATTATTCCTTTCCACTAAACTAGTGTTAAAGGTAAAAGACGAAAGCAAAGGAAGGAGGAATTTGAAAGAAGAAGAAAAAAACAAACATCCTGCAAGTGAGTTGTCAGATAAGCAATGAGATGATTTTTCCAAAGGCATAAAAACGAGTGTCACAGCTGTGTTTTAAGTTGGCATTCTCACTGGAGTTTGGTCATATGTCTATATAAGAACAATGTCAAATAAAAGCTATAGAGTCACTCATTTTTACAAGGTGACTACTATGTGTAAGCACTTCTGCTGAATCTATGATTTACACATTTCTCCATCACAGATAAATACAGAGCAGCTCTCGATGTAGCCAAGAACCATCTCCTAACATGGCTCCCTGCCAAAACACACTCAGCTTCCATACTCTGTCTGCTGTCCACATTGCTGCCTGCCCAGAGAGAAAAGGAGCTCTTTGTGGTCTTTCGGTTCTTCTAGTGGAAAATTTCTATAGACTAAGCAGAGAGATAGCACAAAGCAGACCATTTGCAAGTGGACACCGTCCCCTGCCAAAGGCCATGGGGACTGTAAAAAGAAACAGACTCCTACGGTGTGAATCTGCCAGTTTCATACTATAAATGGAAATTGTTTTTAAAATCTAAAGGGATTGTAATGACTAAACATCAATACTGCTTGTCTTTACCCTTGATGAAAAAAATGGTTAAAGGACATGCTTTCACACCAGCCAAGGAATGATGAAAAAAAGCTCTAGGCAGTATCAAAGGACACAACACAAATGAACACCACAATCTAATTGCTGGGAACGGAAAATCCATCTAAATGTTTGTAAGAATGTGTGTGTGTGCGTGTGTGTGTGTGTGTGTGTGTATGTCTGTTTTAACATAATTAAGGAAGAATTCATTTGTAACATGAAAGACAGAATTTTTCCCTTATTCAATGTGAATGATTGTGGCTGTGTCTATCCGCTTAACAGATCACCTAAAAATGGTTGCTATCATATTTTTTTAGCTGGGTTCAGGGAAACTTTGTATTGTAGTATTCTGAATCTGTTCCAATTTAGAGTTGAAAGATCCAAAATTACCCCAATGTGATTGATTCAGTGACTGCTTATAAACACGGCATGCAACTCCACTTGTCTTTTTAGGCAGAAGAGGCCTTCAAGTGATCCTGGGGTTTACAAAGGAGCTAGCAATATACCTGTTTTGTGGTGTTTTTACTGCTCTCACTTGAAACTATATAATTTGAGATGAATATTACTTTTTTTGCCTAAAACTTTCAGTTGTATGGAAGTTACAATCAATTTCGTTAATGAAATACAACATACATAAAACATAACATAGCTTTAGGACATAACATTTGAATGTAATTTTGTAGCTTATTACAATTGGTAGGATGAATATAGTGTTAATCTTATTTTAGGTAATTTACTAAGATAACTCGAATGCAGATTGGCTCCTCAGATTTTCTTCCATGTCTACATATTATTAAAAACACAAATAAACTCTATGCATTCTTCTGTCAGTCAGGTTGGAATAAGTTATGCTGTGATAACAAGCAATCCTGGAATCTTACTGACTTTCAGCCACAAAGATTTATTTATTATTCATATGACTTGCCCATCGTGAGTTGACCAGAGACCCTCATTCATGTGCCCTTACTCCAGGATGCAGGCTGATGGAGCAGACCTCATCTTGAAGGTTCTTGTTTGCCCACACAGGTGGAAAGAAACCATAGTGAATTTTGCTCTAGTTCATAAAGCTTCCACCTGGAGGTGACATACATCACTCCTACAGGAAGTTACATGGGGAGAAAGCAAGCTCAATCGTACCATGTATTCTGATGGAGAAGCAGAAACATTTGGTGAGCATCACTAATTAATACCCTTCAGTCCCCCTAAGTAGTAAAAACTGGTAAAGCAAATCCAGTATATAAAGCACCATGGCACAGTGTAAAGCTGTCCAGTGGGCAAAGGGAACATCAGAAACATTTTCTCAGTTTGCATCAAACCTTCTTATGAGTTAGTTATACTTCCTTCAGTTGGTCCCTGCTCATTCTCTTGGTAACCCACTTTAATCCTGTTATTTTTCTTTCACTCTTCTGGAGCCACAAAGACCCTCTTATTTTCCTCCATGAACATGTTGGGCACAGTTCTGCCTTAGGACTCTTCCCTACCTACCCTATACCTGACATATCTACTGATTTACATGAAGCCTGAGGATCCATCTGGAAACAACCACACTCCACTGTTGAACTGTGATGTTTGGACATATGAAATCTTGGCTGCTAGATGGAGGTGAACCTGGAGGAAGTGCAAGTGTAGGGAGAAAAGAAATGGAGGAAGCCCCAAGAATAAAGTGAAGAAGGCATGAAATGAAGTGAGCTAGACTGAACAACAAAGCTGGAGAGCTGGAGAGGACGGATGGCTTGGTATCGCAATGCAACTGATTGTAAAGTTCATTCCAATCCAGCCACCATGATTTACGCGTGCATCGTGAGAGAAAGAGATGTGTGTGTGTGTGTTTATGTTAATAAAAGGCTTTAACATGTGGTGACAGAAGTGACTGATGTTATGAAAGTTTTGCAATGGCACAGAGGTAATGATGTTCCAGTTCACTAGCATTGAATCTCATTCGCACCTAGGTTGACAGTACTGGAAATGAGAGAGGAGTTTGTCCTTGGAGTACCACCTCCATGAGCTCTCAAAGCTGAGATTGCAGAGCCTGGCTTATCTGGCAATGGAGGGGAAGGAACAAGGGATATCACTAATCACTGTGACATTTTGGAAAAAGGTGTCATGGCTAATGGAGAGTAAATGAGACATAGACCCCTGAGGTGGAGATGTGGCACTGCCTTTGGGCACAGCAGAGTTGCAGCTCCTCTGGTAGCGGTAGCCATTAGGATTCAACATGGTTGCTGCTTCCTCAAGCACTTGGGAGTTTTTTTTTTTTTTGTCATCCTTCCCAAGGCCCCAGCTTCTTGTGATCAGCCCATCAGAACACAGGGGCCATACCCTTGCCTCAGAGACTCTTATCTTTTTGGTGAGTTTTTGCCATTTATGGAACCACAGCTACTCTCTTGCCCTCCCCATGCCCTGGTCATAGGAAAGCAAACTCCCTTTTCCTTTGGAACTGTTCCCTGAGTAACACTTTGTACTTGAAACATAAGCTTTACTTTCATTTAGTATAACCTTTCAGTACCTATCAGGAGAATCCTCAACGACCTAAATAATTCTATTTTGCTCATTTGCCATTGGGCACTTTGGGTACTAAAGATGGAAAGTACCCCTCAATGGAGCCAGTATTATTACAGACAATTTGATAAGGGGTGATATTTATAGAGAGTGGCAGCTGCCAAAAGATTACAAAAAATGGGAGTCAGACCTTAGGAATAATGTGAATAAAGACCATGGTTAGGAGGGAGGCCCACCTAACATTCAATTCTTGTTTTACTACTTAGTGGAGAGAAATTGGATCTATGTACTCTTGGTGAGCCCCAGTTTCTTTCACTGTAAAATGGGGATAATAATACCCATTGCACAGCACAGGACTGTCATTAGGAATTGAATGAAATTGCATGTGCAAAACTCATAGTGCATACGCATAGAGTAAGTGCTCAAGAAATATTATTTCTCTTCACTTAGTGAGGTGTATCTTTTTATGAAATTTGGATGCATAGCTCCAAGGCCAAACCATAGGGGTGTTTCCAGTTGGGATCATTTAGAGGCCTAAGAAAAATTGTCCTGATTCTCACTTATCTTTTATCACATTTCCTGAAATGCCAAAACTAAAAATATATTATTTTGGCTTAGGTTACTTACTTTCCAAGTGTCCTCATTAAATATATAGCTGTTATCAAGAAGGATAAAACATGAAGCTGTTATAAGTAATTGCCCCTGTAATGTGGATTTGTTTGTCAGAGGCAGGTTGATTGAGTAAAAGGCAGGGGTCATTGCTTTGTTCGTTTGTTTTGAGTGAAATGGAGAGGAGAAAATAAGTGTCTGTTGTAGTACAACTCCCAAAAAAGGTCAGACCTGAGTGAGGTGCTAAATGTGGCAGTGTTTGGACTTTTCTTTTCTGGAGAGGGAACGTAACAGAGGAAGAAAGTGATAAAGGGGGAATACCAGAGGGATTTGCACTCACATTTCCCCACTGCTCGTAGGTATCTAAGGATGGCCCTGCTGGCTTGATTCATTCGAGGTCATCTGTTTGGGGAATGCTGGAGGGTGTTGAAAGATAACTTTAATTGTATTACAGTTGGACACAAACCCTTACTTTCATTCAAGAATAATACTTCTGCTGTAGGAATACCAAATTTGAAGGTGTCATCCATATTGGATTTGGAGCCAGATTTCTGAAAGCTTATTTATTTCTTGGGGGAGAAAGAAACCATGCCAGACTCAGGGAGGGGTTTTCCTGTCTATGAGCATGGAAGCTGAGTGAACAGAGGATCAGAACCAACTTGGCTGGGTCCTGGGCCCTGCAGCACCAGGAATTAGGTAATACCAAAAGTATCTATGAGGGGAGCTATGCATGGGGGAACAGGGAGGTTGCTTACATCCTGACAAGGAACAAAGTTAAATTCAGACATTAGACTTCCATTTCAGATAGGGAAGAGAAGACGGAGCTAAAGTTCTAGGACAAGCTTGTCATACCCGCAGCCTGTGGGCAGCGTGTAGCTCAGCATGGCTTTGAATGCAGCTCAACACAAATTCGTAAGCTTTCTTAAAATACTATAATATTTTTTTGCAATTTTTAATTTTTTTTTTTAGCTCATCAGCTATCGTTAGTGTTAGTGTATTTTATGTGTGGCCCAGGACAATTCTTCTTCATCCAACGTGGCCCAGGGAAGCCAAAAGATTGGACACTCTTGTTCTAGGACTAAGACCCATGTTTGATAGTAAGTAATACCTATATTATCAGAAGACAAAAAATTTCACCTGGAAAGACAATTTGGAAGGGTAACACAGAAGGCTACCATTGCATTAAGATTGTCTGCAAAGGAATGATCTTACTTTAACTAGTTAGAGGAGCAGTTTTTGGAAACTTGATCACTGGAGATTGGCATATCGGCCATGACATATGTTGGAGAATAAGTGCTAAGACAAAGTCTTAAGGAGAGAAATTATTTTGTGGAGAGATGCTTAAAATAACAGAGAGGCAGTGTGAAGGAAAGCTAAGTGTGAAGGCTCTGGGTGAATGCCCCGAGGCTGTCAACTCCTCCCCAGCAATGTGGACATAAAATGATATCCATCTCATAGTTTTGTGATGAAGTGAAAATGAGGTAATTACTATGAAACGCTTAGGGCAGTGATTGGCGTGTAGTAAGCACTCAGTCCACTTTAAGTGTTACTGTTTCTTTTAATGATTCTGAGCCACAGAGCTATTTCTCTACTTCCTCTAGAGGCTGAGATGTGGGTTTGTTCAGTGTCAGTATCCAGGCCCTCTAGAATCTGAGAAGAGTGCAATGGGAGCTTACAACCTCCTCTTTACCCTACTTATTTTCTTTTACTGGGTATTAAAATTTAAGTTGGCAGGTGATCAGCTCATTTGAATAGTATTTTCCTCCATATGTTATTATAAAGGGGTATCTTCTTTTCTGCCCCTTCATGAAATTAGCATCGATTAGCATCATAACTCGAATAATTTATCCCATCAAGCACTTAAGAAGCACATGCATATTAGTTAGTATTAATATCCAGATATCCCCTTTTATCAGGGGATAAAAGGCTAAACAGAAGTTGAAATGCCCAAAAAGGAATTTGCAATGTAGAAGTATCTAGTCTAGGAAATGATCATCACTAACTGTTGTCAAAACCTACTCCAGATATTTTAATAAATAGTCAAGATAGTTTATTTTCTTCCTAATATTATCATGGAGTAAATTTTGATACCAAAATTTCATAGCAGCCTATTGTTTCTGTCAAGAATAATAATGACATATATTTCAAATCACTTTTCTTCATGTTTGTCATTATGTATCATCACTATTAAAATCACAGTCTTGAATGGAAAAAGAAAAAATATGAATGGCAAATCATATAGAGAAATCAAATTGGTTCAGTACATAAAAATATTCCATCTTCAAATGCCTTGCAAGATAAATGAAATAGATTGACTAGTGCTATTTTAGGGGCTGTCCCCAGCTCAGCATTTGTGATGAACTCTCTTGAAACAAGAGAGAACATTCAGTTTTCCATTCAAGTGCTCCTGGTACTTCTTAAAAAGATGACTTTCAGAGACTTCACAAAAAATAAATAGCAAAGAAATCTAAGTCAGGAGTGTTATCATGATTAGGTAAATCTCACATCTTGAAGAGTTTAGAGTCTTGATTTTTTAAAATGTGTGAGCAAACTCTAGGTTATTAGTAAATATATCTTTAGGAGAAGTTTAGCAATTAGAACATTTAAATGAATATATTACATGCTAAGACACTCACTCAACCCAACATCTCCAGTCCCAGGTGGATACCCGGATCCACTAAATCCATGAATAAATTAATACATATTTATCAAACACTTGCTACATAACTAGTTCTGTGGCAGATGGTATGACGTTTAAACCATAAATCAGCTATAAATTATAATTCTTGGTATATAGGAGCTCCTTATCAAGTGGGAAAAGCAAACACAGGAGATTATATATAGTAAAGTCTTGAATAGTGAAGTTTAAACTATAACAGCAATAGGATTTAAGAAATGGAGAGGTTGAACTACTCCAGGAAGACTTCTTGAAGGATGTCGTACTTGAGCTGAACCTTAAGAGAGGTGTTGGTTTTGAATGAAGGGCAGTGGTATTCTAGACCTGAGAGAGACAAAAAGGAGTTTGAATGTGGTATTAATGAAAGAGAATGAGAAGAGAGAACTGGCCAGAACAGGGGGACACAATAGGAAAGAACTGAATATAGAACCAGAATATGGGGTAGCCTAGAAGTAAAAATCAAAATGCAGTTAAAAACATGCATGTTCCAAGATTGAATTTGTTCAGTCATGTGGTCATCTAACATAGATACTATTATTCTTATAGAACTTGAACTTGGGTACTGACAAATGAAGATGATGAACTTATGTTTTTTACCTTCTTACCGTGTAAGTAAGCCATGTGACTTATGTTTAAATCTCCTCACACCAACACATACACAGATGATGTAATATGATGTCTGTTATTTACTTCAAAATAATCTGACAGTGAGAGAGGGAGGTAGGTGAGGATAGAAACAAAATTAGTCATGAACCAGTAACTGTTGCTGCACATGGAATTTGTTATACAATTCTGTCTACATATTTTTTATGTTTGAAATCTTTTATAATAAAAAACATTCTTCTACTTTATCTCTTTGATATATATCATCATAAAATTGGATCTCCCTTGCCACATTTTCTAAGTATTACAAGTATGTAAAACCAGGAAAACAATCTAATCTACAGGAAAGTAAATACACACACACACACACACACACACACACACACACACTCTTGAAGAATGAAAACATAGAAAAGCACCTAAACAACTATCTAATTACAATACTCTAATTTGTAATTCCTCTTAGTTTGAAAGAGAGTAGGTCCTAAGCCTGACTGACTCTTAATCTTATGGGTAGAATCTACTTTAATGTTTTGCATGGACGATGCATGAATATCTTGTAATCTGATTAGTTTGTTGAGCTAGTATTTGTGTAGGACACTTATTCTTTGTTGAATTGTGTGCCTTACCAAGTGTTGGAACCAATGTCCATGTCTTCATGTAGTCATTCATTTAATGGCTTTCTAGTTAACCATAGTTTTTTCTGAAATAATGATCAGTTATGTATCAACCATTAAACAATTGTTTATCATGCAGTGGAGCTGACATTGATTATCACAATTGCCAAGAACAATTTGATAACTTGGAGAGCTTTTGGGAAAATAGATTTGGCTTGAATTAGAATCCTGGCTCTGCCTCTTGCAAATTATTTAACATGTTCAAGCTTCAATTTCATCAATAAATGAACTCCAACTACTTACCTCAGAGTTGTTGAGAAGATTAAACTAGACTTGCCTTTGCCAAATTCTCTCCTCCCATTCTCTCTTGAACCCACTTCAGATTTTCACCTCTACCTCTCTACTGAAAAATCATGATGACCTCCATGTTGATAAATCTAAAATAACTTTCTCAGTTCTTCCTTTACCTGCCCTATCTTTTGTTTTCCTTCAGATAGATGCACGGCCATCACCTTCACTTAATTTAGGTCTTTACTCAAATTCATTTTCTCAGTGAGGCGCTTCATGCCTCTGTAATCTAAAATTTCAGCCCTTATGACATTTCATATTCATGTTTCCTGGTATACTTCTTAGCACTATTTCATATATTTTACTTATATTTCTTGTTTACTTTCTGTCTTATTCTCTCCCTGCCTACTTCCTCCTGTCTCCCATATAAGCTCCATGAATGCAGGGTTTATCTTTTTTTTCCACTGTTTACTAAGTATCTCTAAAATAGATACATAGTATCTAGAACATAGTAGGCACTCTGCTAGAACATAGTAGGCACTCTGAATATTTGTTGAATGAATGAATGGATGAGAAAATGTATTTGTGCCAGCAAAGTGCCTGTACATAACAGATGCTTAATCAAATTAACTTACTCTCTAAATTTTTTTCTTTTTACTGTACTTCAATGGATGCAAACAAATTAATTTACTCTTTCCCCTTTTATGCAGATCATTGAAATAATTATTTTAATGAATGTTGAAAATAATTTTGGAAAAGTTAGACCCCTAATCTAGCACCCCTACTATTTCATAATGTAGCATTATATTCCGTCATAGATATTATAATATTCTTTAATTCATTGATTTATTTTTCAACACACATTTATTCAATGTGCATTATGTATCAAGCATCTATATACAAAGAAGAACAAAATGCATGGCTGTCTTCAAGGAGTTTCCAGCCTAGTGGGGAGACAGATACAAAAAGGGATCAACACGTCAGAGTAAATGTAATCAGAGACCTACGGGGTGAGGAGACCCAACCCATTCTGTGAGGCCCAGAAAGACCTCCAAAGGAGGTAACAGCTGAACTGAGTGTTAAAAATGAGTATGAGCTGGTTTGAAGAGGAGAGGATACAAAAGAAAGCCAGACAGGAAAGCTTGTTTGAGCAAAGAACTAGGTGAGAAACAGCTTGGTACGTTTTTGTGTGTATGATGAGTGGAGAGGCATCAGGATCAGATTAAACATCAATGGATTAAAGTGTCATGTGGCTGGATGTCTATTTTCATCATCTCCTCCCGACCCCTTTTTTTTTTTGACAGAGTTTCACTCTTGTTGCCCAGGCTGGAGTACAATGGCGTGATCTTGGCTCTTCACAACCTCTGCCTCCCGGGTTCAAGCAATTCTCCTGACTCAGCCTCCCGAGTAGCTGGGATTGCAGGCATGCGCCATCACACCCGGCTAATTTTGTATTTTTAATAGAGACGGAGCTTCTCCATGTTGGTCAGGCTGGTCTCGAACTCCCGACCTCAGGTGATCCGCCAGCCTTGGCCTCCCAAAGTACTGGGATTACAGGTGTAAGCCACGGTGCCTGGCCTCATCTCCCCCTTCTTACACTTGTGCTTTCTATGTAGCTAATGTATAGGTATAGTAACCCATGTTTCATCTACAATCATAAACTTGTGCCTTTGTTCTTTTACGTATCTTAAAATACTCTTTTAATGGGGCCAGGACTCTTTGGAGTATATAATCACTACATGAGAAAACAATATTTTACTATTATAATTATCACTTAAGACATGTAGAGATGATTTGGGGAGGTTAAATATTTAGATTGAAAATAATAATCATAATAATATTTTGCTATGTCTGGGGGAAGAGCTCTTGCTTAGTTCTTCTGGAAACTTGTATTATAAGGGAGACAACTTGTTCAACACAACATTTTGCACACAGAGAAAGAATTTTGCTCATACTGCCTATAACAAGCCAAATAAGACTTGTAAAAACAAGAGCATAATACTTTGGTAAATCACAATTAGGTACAATTTGGGAAATTACGAATTTGAAAATTAAAAGCCATGAATATTCAAAAAGAGAATTCCTTACAGTTTTATAGAAAAAGAAGAATGTTGACATTTTTATTTCATTTTCTAGAGAAAAATAATCTTGTATTTGTCAAAAGAGAAAATTGTGTTACTCATATAATGGCTTTGTGCAACTATCATACTAGACGCAGCCTATTAACCTCAAGAGAGCAATATTGAAGAAATATCATCTTCTGATTATTCGTCACAACAACATTGTAAGGCAAATACAGGAAAACCTATACTAATTTTATTTTGTAAGTGAGCAAATGCATGCCTTTCGAAGGAGGCCTACATTTGTATTCTAGATGTGATACAATGGTTGTACATTCCAGGTGTGATGCAATGATCCAAGTCATCAGGCAACGCCTGTAATTTGATTTGTTCGTGTTAATCAGGAACTCTGATAAGCTGTTTTACTATTACTGCAGGCTACTAGTTATTTTTTATAATCCATTTCTCCCTTTGTCCTGGGTTCAAAACTATACAGCCAGTGATTATTGCTGCTTCCTTGCAGCTACGTGCAACCTGCGACTACTTTTGAGTCAATGGGATGTGAACAGATCTTACTGCCCTGGTCTTTGGCTCTTTCCTCCTTCCTGTTTCCTGGAAAATGGACAATGCCTTTGTTTTGGCCAAGCAGGCAAAGAAAATATGACATGGTTAGAAGATAGGAAAAAACCTAGGTCACTGAATGACTTTATACAAGTGAGCTGCCCTGCCAATTCATACTGGCCAGTCTGTTGTGTGAGAAAAAACTTCTGCCTTATTTCAGTCAATGTATTACTGGCTTCTTTGTTATATCTATTCAGTTTATGTCATAATTAATATGATTACTAAATATATTTAGTTGGGAGTGATTATTAGAAAGTCAAGACAACTGACAAAGTCAGACAACTAAGAGTAAGTTATTGAAGTCACTATTAAAAAATACACAAAATTATAAAATTCAAAAATCATGAATGGACTCTTTTGTGTGTAGTTTACGTGTTTGTATTTAATTCATCTGTAACTTTTAAAACAAATATTTGATTAGTTTCTCTGCTTAGATTTTATTAATAAAAAATAGTTTTTTAAAAAAGAACAATTTTAACAGAATTTTCCTGGTCTCATAAGAAATATATTACAGGGCACAGAGAAGATAATAAATAGGTAAATTTTTAAATGTTCAGTAAAATTTCTGATTTTGGGAGACACACCTTGAGGTGACCCCTCTTGAGTCATGCTGTTATATAAACTCCTCCCCTTGAGTGGGAACAGATTCATGTTAAGCCATTGAATATGGCAAAGATGATGGAATGCCACTTTCATGATTATGTTACATTATATTAGACTCTGTCTCAGAAGACTGTATAGAGTTTCTCTTGTTGGCTTTGAAGAAGCAAATGATGTTGTAAGATGTCCATGGAAAAGAACATGTGACATGGAGCTTCAGAATGACTTCTAGGATTTAAGTGTGGTCACCAGCCAGCAGCTATTAAGAAGTGAGGCTCTCAGGCATACAGCTGAAAGAAAGTATTAATAAATTCTGCCAAGAACAAGGATGAATGTGAAAGTTAATTCTTCCCCAGTCAAGCATCCAAATGAGAACACATCCAGGCCAATGTCTTGACTGCAGTCTTGTTAGAATCTGAACTAAGCTAAGCCTGGGCTCCTGATCCACTGAAACTGTGAGACTGTGTGTTGAAAACTGAAAACTGTGTGTTGTTTTAAGCCACTAAGATTGTGGCAGAATTTTATGCAGCAGTAGAAAACTCATCCTTTGGCAGCAATGCATTTTTAAACAGATGAAACAAAAACACATTGACACCAATCCAAAATATTGCCTAACTCGATTTGGATCTCTATGGATGAAATTCTTACTCCCCTTAAGTTATTTTCCTAAAGCTTCAGGATATAAGACAATAGAATCACTCACTAAAATAATTGGATTATACAGCAACAGTAATAACAAAACAGCTCATCTCATGTTACATCTCCATCTGGATAGCTACTTCTAATAGATGATTTTTTTTTCTAATATGCTCTTTTTCTTTCTTTCTTTCTTTCTTTTTTTTTTTTTTTTTAGAAAATAGTCATCTTTACAACAAAATTATTTGACCTTTTTTTTTGCTTGGTTTTAAAAATTAGCTGTTGGCATTTGATGCAGCATATTGTAATAATGGAGACAGAGAGAAAAACATTTGTAGTATAAGAAAATTCTGTTCTAATAATTTTTGGAAATTGCTCATGTTCCTTATGCTTAGAAATCATGCAAAAAAGACATTCTTCTTAAGAAACTGTAGACACAAAATATTTATAATTAGATACAATTAGAATTACTTTGAAAACATCCCATTAAATTAACAACCTGTGGTTTGGAGGCTTAGAACATTATTAATTTATTAGCATTAAGAAAATTTTTGCATCCCTTGGTAAATATCAAAACTCATTATTCTCTAAGGGCATGTCTGCATAACATTTTTTTCTGCAAGCAAAATTTTGTTTTAGTAAAAGTGCAAATGGAAATATACATAGGTATGCATTTCCTAAGAAGAAAGCTATTAATTTACATGGAGAGTTTTATTCTTTAGTTCCTCAAATTCAATTTCTATCACCAGAATTTTGATTTAGCAAGTCCTCACGGTTTCAGAAATGGGGACAAAAGGAAGTGAAATGCCTGTGCATCGGAATGTTTATTGTCTCCCCACAGAATCAGATATACTCTCTAGTTTGAGGTCTGCTGGTTTATTTAATCTCAGCTTAGCAGGTCTGCTGTGAAAACCTAAGATTTCTGGTAATGCTGTAATCACAAGAACTAGTTACTTGTCATCATCTTTTAAGTAAAATTTGCTGCTTTAAGTTCCAAGAATTCTCAATAATTGATACAGATTAGTTTCCTGACTAGATCGTTTCCTCCGCCAATAACTTTAAATCTCTGGAAAATAGGAGAAGTATTAGAATGTGAAGGAAGGATTGTGTGTGTGTGTTTGTGCATATGTATACAAGCATTGATGGTTGGGTGCATGACAGTAAGAGAAATAACAGTTACATGCTGTAACCAAATATCCCTGTGTAGTTGTGTAATTTGTACTCAATCTTCAAGGCTCAGTTTTGTTGTCACCTCCCCTATGAAGTACCTGTCCTTTCTCAAGCAAAACCAGGCTCCACTTGATTTTCTGCTCTCATAGCACTCTGTAAAACCTCTTCAACATGTATCATGACATTTTAAAGTTGTCTTTCACTACTGGGTAGCCTAAGCCTCTTGAGGGTATGGATTTACCTTGTCTGCCTGTGGTATCTTGAGTCCCTAGCACAGTATGTGGTATGGAACTGGTTCTTCTGATATGGAGGAAATTGCAATTGGAAAGTGCAGGAAAGGGACAAAAGTAAAAAAAAAATGTGAGTAAGAAAGAAGAAAGGGCGTATGGGGTAATATTATAAATCTTGATAATGTCTTTGGACATCTTATTCATTTAGAATTTGTTGCCATGGCTCTTTTTTATCCCATTCATTTTTTTCCCATTACTCTCATTTACTTCTCATCTTACCATACTGAACTTAAGGTCTTAAAATTGATGACATAGCATTCATGTCTTGCTTCCCTTATGATGATATGGTTATTAGTATTCTTCTTAATGTTGATAGAATTGTTTAAAGTATAAGTACAATAATAATTCTCTGCTTTAGTCCTCTATTCAATAGTAAAAGTAGATGTGCACTATCCTAATATGGACATAGATATAAGAAAGAATAATTCCTCTTAAGAGGGCAGTGAAAACTGACATTTGCTGTGCATCTATTATATCCCAGGCACAGTGTTAGAAACATGTACTTAGATTATTTTGTGTGATCCATTTAGCAACTGCTGAGGTAGTTATATTCCACCAGGAGAAAGCAATATTAGAGAGGTTTTAGAAATGGCCTAATGCCCTGCAGCTGCTGGAAAAAAGGAGTAAAAATTTAAATACAGAACTGTCTTACCAAATTCTTGTGTCTTGCACCCTCAGTAGCCTGAACAGAATTTATTTTAAGTGGTAGAGTGGCCTTTATGGAGACACCCTTATATTTGAACATATCAGAAAGGCTAAACCTGCTGTGGGGAGGATCTTGTCTGACTCATGTATTTTGTTTTGTGATACTTTGAATATTTTAACACCTTATCATTTTCATACCAGCTATCACTCTACACCCAAGGATAATCCTCAAGTCCTTGGCCAATGAATGTCTTCCATATCTAAAGTTACCCCATTTCTACTCTCAGAATATTATTGTCTTAAATTTTGATATGAAAAAATTTATGGGGTCACACGTGGAATTTTGTTACATGCATAGATTGTGTAGTGGTCAAGTCAGGGCTTTTAGGGGATCCATTACCCAAAAAACTTACGTTACATTCATTAATTTCTCATCATCCACTCCCGTCCTTCCCCCTCACACTTTCAAGTATCCACGTCTATCATTCCATACTCTATGTCCATGTATACACATTTTTTGGCACCCACTTATGAGTGTGAACATACAATATTTGCCTTTCTGTGCCTGGCTTGTTTCACTTAAGATAATGACCTCCAGTTCCATTCATGTTGCTGCATAAGATGTGATTTCATTCCTTCTTATGGCAAAATATTTCATTGAGTATATGTACTACATTTTCTATATCCAGTCCTCACTGATGGACACTTAGGTTGATTTTGCATCTTTGCTATTGTAAATAGTGCTGTGATAAACATATGAGTGCATGTATCTTTTTGATATATTGATGTTTTTTCCCTTACGTAGATAATCAGTAGTGGATATTAAATATACTCACTAATATATTAAATAGTAGCTGGATTAAATGGTAGTTCTATTTTTAGCTCTACTAATTTCTATAGAGGTTGTACTAATTTACATTCCCCCCAACAGTGTGTAAGAATTTCCTTTTCTCCATATCCTTGCCAACATCTGTTGTGTTTTCACTTTTTATTATTAGGCATTCTAACAAAAATGGTGTCTCAATATGATTTTAATTTACATTTCTCTGATGATTCGTAATTTTGAGCATCTTTTCATATGTTTATTGGCCACTCATATGTCTTCTTTGAAGAAAAATGTATGTTCATATCCTTCGTCCACTTTTTACAGGGGTGTTTTTTTCCTTGTTGACTTGTTTGAGTTCCTTATAGATTCTGGATATTAGTCTTCTGTTGAATGAGTAGTTTGCAGATGTTTTCCCCATTCTACAGGTTGTTCATTCACTTTGTTGATTATTTCTGTTGCTGTGCATGAGCTTTTAATTTTAATTAATTTAAATCTGTCAATTTTTATTTTTGTTCTCTATGCTTTTGAGGTCTTAGTCATAAATTCTTTGTCTGAACCAATGTTTAGAAGAATTTTCCCCAGGTTTTCTTCTAGTATTTTTATAGCTTCAGGTATTACATTTAAGTTTTTAATTTATCTTGTGTTGATTTTTGTATATGGTAAGAGATAAAGGTCCAGTTTCATTCTTCTGCATATGACAATCCCATTTTCCCAGCACCATTTATTAAAAAAGGTTTCCTTTCCCCAAAGTATGTTACTATTGGTTTTGTCAAAGATCAGGTGGTTGTAGGGATGTGGTTTTATTTCTGGGTTCTCCATTCTGTTCATTGATTGATGCGTCTTCTATTATACCAGTACCAGGCTGTTTTGGCTTCTATAGTCTTGTAATATAATTGGAAGTTAGATAATGTGACACCTCCAGCTTTGCTTTCTTTGCTCAGGATTGCTTTGTCTCTTTGGTCTCTTTTTTGGTTACATACAAATTTTAGGATTTTTGTTCTAATTCTGTGAAAAATGATGGCGGTATTTTGGTAGGGATTGCATTAAGTCATTGCTTTGGGCAGTATGGTCATTTTAATGATATTCATCCTTTCTATTCAGGAGCATGGAATGTTTTTCTATTTGCTTTTTTAATCTACAATTTCTTCCATTGTTGTATTATGGTTTTCCTTGTAGAGATCTTTCACCTGTTTGGTTAAATGTATTCCTAAGTATTTTTTTTAAGCTATTGTAAATGAAATTACCTTCTTGGTGTCATTCTCAGCTAGATCATCATTGGTGTACAGAAACACTATTGATTTTTGTCCATTGATTTTGTATCCTTAAACTTGACTAAAATCAATTATCGAATCTAAAATTTTTTTGGTAAAAGCTTAAAGTTTTTCTATATGTAATATTATATCATCAGAAAACACGGATTATTTAATTTGCTGTTTTCCTGTTTGAATGACTTTTATTTTTTTCTCTTATCTGAGGCTCTGGCTAGAACCTCCACTACTATGTTGAGTAGGAGGGGTGAAAGTGGGCATCCTTGGTTTGTTCCAGTTCTTGGGGGAAATGCTTTCAAGTCTTCCCTGTTCAATAAGATGTTAGCTGTGGGTTTCATATATGGCTTTTATTATTTTGAGTTGTGCTCCTTCTATGATTAGTTTGTTGAGGGGTTTTATCATGAAGAAATGCTCAATTTTATCCAATGCTTTTTCTGCATCTAGTGAGATGATTATATATTTTTTGTCCTTGATTTTATTTATATGATATATGACATTTATTGATTTGTGTATTTTGAGCCATCCTTGTGTCCCTAGTATAAAACCCATTTGGTTATGGTGTATTGACTTTTCAATGTGCTGTTGGATTCAGTTTGTTAGTATTTTGTTGAGGATTTTTGCATCTATGTTCATAAGGGATATTGGTCTGTATTTTTACTTGTGTGTGTCATCTATCAGGGTGATACTGGCCTTATAGAATGAATTAGGGAGAAATCCCTCCTCCTTGATTTTTTGGAAAGTTTCAGAAGAATTGGTATTAGTTCTTCTTGGTATGTTTGGTAGAATTCAGCTGTGAATCCATCTGGTCCTGGACTTTTCTTCATTGTAGGATTTTTAAAAATTGTTGATTCAATTTCACTACTTGTTATTGGTCTGGTCAAGTTTTCTATTTCTTCCTGGTTCAATCTTGGGAAGTTGAATGTTTCCAGGAATTTATCCATTTCCTGTAGGTTTTCTAGTTTGTGAGCATATAATTATTCACAGTATTCTTCGGTAATCTTTTGTATTTCTGTAGTATAAATTGTAATGTTTCCTTTCTCATTGCCAATTTTGTTTATTTGGGTCTTCTCTCTTCTTTTCTTGGTTAGTCTAGCTAGTGGTTCATCAATTTTGTTTATCTCTTAAAAATCAGCGTTTCATTTCATTATCCTTCGTATTGTTTTGTTAGTTTCTATTTTGTTTGGTTCTGCGCTTAACTTTGTTATTTCTTTTCTTCTGCCAAATTTGGTTTCATTTGTTTTTGCTTTCCTAGTTCCTTGAGGTACATTATTAGCTTGTTAATTTGTAATCTTTCTACTATTTTGACGTAGACATTTAATGCTATAAACTTCTCTCTTAGCACTGCTTTTGTCGCATCCCAGTGGTTTTTGTATGCTGTGTTTACATTTTCATTTGTTTAAAAAAGTTAAATTTCTGTGTTAATTTCTTCCTTGACTTGAACATAGTCATTTGGGGATATGTTGTTTAATTTCCATGTGTTTGTATACTTTCTGAAGTTCCTCTTGGTATTGATTTTAGGTTTATTCTACTATGGTCTAAGAAGATGCTTGATATAATTTTAATTTTTAAAAATTTGTTGAGGCTTGTTTTGTGTCCTAATATATGATCTATACTGGAGAATATTCTATGTGTTGGTGAAAAAAAGGTATATTCTACAATTGTTGGGTAGAATGTTCTGTCAATGTCTTTTAGGTCCACCTGGTCTAAAGTCTAATTTAAGGGCTGGGGGAGGTGGCTCACACCTGTAATCCCAGCACTTTGGGAGGCTAAGGCAGGCGGATCATGAGGTCAGGAGATCGAGACCATCCTGGCTAACATGGTGAAACCCCGTCTCTACTAAAAATACAAAAAATTAGCCAGGCGTGGTGGTGGGCGCCTGTAGTCCCAGCTACTCGGGAGGCTGAGGCAGGAGAATGGTGTGAAACCGGGAGGCAGAGCTTGCAGTGAGCCGAGATCGCGCCACTGCACTCCAGCCTGGGTGACAAAGCGAGACTCCGTCTCAAAAAAAAAAAAAAAAAAAAAAAAAGTCTAATTTAAGTATTTTTTTTTGTTGACTTTTTTTTTGTCTGAATGATCTGTCTAATGCTGTGAGTGGAATGTTAAAGTCCTCAACTATTATTGTTTTGCTATCTGTCTCTCTCCTTAGGTCTAGTAATATTTGTTTTATGAATCTGGGTGCTCCAGTGTTAGGTGGATATATATTTAGAATTGTTATATCCTCTTGCTGAATTAATCTATCATTACATAATAACCTCTGTGTCTTACTTTATTGTTTTTTATTTAAAGTCTGTTTTATCTGTATAAGTAGACCTATTCTGTCTCACTTTTGGTTTCCATTTGCATGGAGCATCTTTTTCCATCCTTTACTTTCATCTACATGTATCTTTACAGGTAAGGTCAGTTTCTAAAAGCAGCATATAGTTGGATCATGTTTTTAAAAATCCATTCAGCCAATCTATATTTCTAAGTGGAATATTTAATTCATTTATGTACAAGGTTAATATTGATTCATGAAGTTTTGTTCCTGTCATGTTGTTAATTGTTTTCTAGTTCTTTATGCATTCTTTGTTTCTTTCTTTTTCTCTGTTTGTCATTGTGGTTTGTTGGAATTCTGTATGTTTGCCACTTGATTTCTTTCTCTTCCTTCTTTGTGTAATTGCATTACCAGTGAATTTTATACTTTCAAGTGTTTTCATGATGGTGAATGTCATCTTTTTGTTTCTAAGTTTAGGAATCTCTTGAGTACTTTTTGTAATTTCAGTCTAGTGGTAATGAATTCCATCAGCATTTGTTTGTCTGGAAAAGACTTCATTTCTCCTTCATTTATTGAGGTTAATAGTGTTGTACATAGAATTCTTGACTAACAGTTTTATTTCTTTGACATTTTGAATATGTCATCCCATTTTCTCCTGACCTGTAAGGTTTCTGCTGAGAAGTCTGCTGCTGGTCTGATGGTGTTTCTTTTATAGATGACTGGAAGTTTCCTCTTGCTGTTTTTAGAATTAGCACTTTCACTTTGACTTTTAGACAGTCTGATTACAATGTACTGTGATGAAGTCTTTTGCATTGTATTTTCTGTAGGATTGCTGAATCTCTCGTATCTGAGTATCTAATTCTCTTGCTATACTTGGGAAGTTTTCATCTATTACTTCATTAAATAGGTTTTCTAAACCTTCTGATCTCTCTTTACCCTTGGGAATACTGGTAACTCATGAATTTGGTCACTTTATGGTGTCCCAATGTCACCATTTGGCAGCTTTGTACATTCCGTTTAATTAATTTATTTTTTTGTCTGATTGGATTATTTCAAAAGACCCGTCTTCAAGTTCTGAAATCTTTCTTCTGCTTGGACTAGTCTATTGTTGAATTTATGTTTTTTTTTAAGATATCTTTTTTTTAATAAATTTTTTATTCTTATCCTGAATTGGTTTTCTGAGTTGTGCTGACTTTCAGATTTCTCTTGCATCTCATCAAACTTTTTAAAAATCAGTACTTTTAATTCTTTATCAGGGATTTCAAGAATTTCTCTGAGTATTATTGTATTCTTTTGAGGGTGTCATATAACCTCGTTCTTTTCATGTTTCCCATGTCTTTCCATTGACTTCTGTTCATATGATGTAAAAGTCACATCTTATTTTTGAATTTACTTACATTAGAAGAGAAACTTTTTCCTGAAGTTGTGACCTTGATATTGGTTGGCTAGGGCCCTTTGCTTTTGCTTCTGGGTATGTGCTATAGTGAAATCTAAGTATGATTTTCTTGACTAGAGTTGTGTCTGTGGTTTCCCTGGTGTGTTAGACTAGGGTTATTGGTGGAGGCTGTGGTATAGTTGTGCTGGGGATTGGAATGCCAGATGGGCCTATCTTCAGGTTTCAGTGGCAGTGGTGGTGGACTAAGCTCATCTATCCTTCTTCCCTGGGGTGGCATATGCTGACACTTGGCAGTTCCAGTCAAGCTAGTTCTTGGGCCTCTGGGTGGCCTTCTCGGGTGGCAATTATAGCAGTGGTGTACGCGGGAAGTGAGCAGGCTCTCAAGCCTATGGAAAGTCGGTGTGGTATGACTGATGGCAGTAGCAGTCATGGTGAGATTCTCTTCTAGGTCCCAAGCATTGTGTACCCTTATGTTGGTAGTGGTTGGAATGGGCTGTGTTGGCCAACCTCCAGGCCAGTTGGTGATGGTTGCAGGTAGGAGCCAGCTGAGGTGGTAGTGGTAAGGAGTTTTTGTCCAACCTCAGTTACCTAGGTGGAGTGCTCAGATGTCCCAGGTGGTAGATTGGGTTGTGGAACCTCCACAATTCTGGATCCAATACTCTGTTTTGAGGTGGATGAAACTGGGCAGAGTTGGACTGGGCAAGCTTGCATTTAGGCCCCCCAAAAGTGAGTGCATGCACCAGCCATCATAGGTCAGGTTAGGGTGATCTTCAGGCCTCTCTGGCAGAATGTTTGGATGAGAGGCAGCTGCTGCTACACTGAAACCCTGCCATGGGGAGGGTGAGTCCAGTCCCAATAGTCACAGGTTTGGCTAGAGGGTGGGGAACTTGCATCCCTTTCATGGGGCAAGTGGCAAGTTTGGGGGCTTGTTTCCCTGTCCATATTGTTGCCTTATTTAATAAACTGTATTAATATGCTTATGTTTGAACATTCCATCTTGAAAGTAATTTGTATTAATATGCATGATTTTCCTACATATAAGGATTTAGCTTATGTGTAGTCATCTATTTTCATATGTTATTGATCATTTCAGTCTAACCTTTGAAATTAAACTTAACGCTCTAAACAGGAATACTTTCTGTTTCCTGCAGGAATTAATTTGCATTTTTGTCTCTGTATCTTTGCTTACTCTTTTTTCTCTAATATCTTTAAATCCTGATCTATCTTTCCATTTTCATAATACTCTCCATCTTTCAAGGACCCGCCTGCATGTACCCATTCCTCTGCATTGAATAAACATTGGAAAAGAAGATGCTGAGGCTTGGTAGAGATCTCAATTTTTAAGTTACAGGAGAGAAAGACATATTTACATGGCAAACAGCAGTGATGGTTTGAAGCTTGGTGTCCAAAGAACATGTGAAGATCAAGTATGTTTTAGATGGTGTAAGAAGTCCCACTCAGACTTTTGGTTAACTTTCATCCTTGAAGTCTAGTGGTATTGCAACGGATTTGAGAAATTTTTGAATAGGGCAAGCCCACTTGCCAAAGGGATGGAAATAAAAAGATACGCCTTAGCCCTCTGTAAGAATGGTTGCTAAGAATTAGCTGGCTTGGCGGGAGGGGCCAAGATGGCCGAATAGAAACAGCTTTGGTTGGCAGCTCCCAGTGAGACGAACGCAGAAGGCAGGTGATTTCTGCACTTCCAGTTCTTCTCATTGGGACTGGTTAGGCAGTGGGCACAACCCACAGAGAGTGAACAGAGGCAGGGTAGGGCGTCACTTCACGTGGGAAGTGCATAGACCCAGGGGACCTCCCTCCCCAGCCAAGGGAAGCTGTGAGGGACGGTGCTACCTGCCAGGGGTACTATGCTTTTCCCACAGATTTTTTCAATCCGCAGATCAGGAGATTCCCTCTTGAGCCTACAACACCAGGGCCCCGGGTTTCAAGCATAAAACTGGGCGGTTGTTGGGGCAGGCACAGGGCTGCCCGAGTTTTTTCATACTCCAGTGGTGCCTGGAACTCCAGTGGTGCCTGGAACTCCAGTGAGACAGGAGAACTGTACACTCCCCTGGAAAGACAGCTGAAGCCAGGGAGCCAAGTGATCTCACTCAGCGATTCCCAGTCCCCCGGAGCCCAGTAAGCTAAGAACCATTGGCTTGAAATTCCCACTGCCAGCACAGCAGTCTGGAGTCCACCTGGGACCACGGAGTTTGGTTGGGAGAGGGGCAACCGCCATTACTGAGGCTTGAGTAGGCGTTTTTCTCCTGACAGTGCTAAGGAGACTGGGAGATTCGGACTGGGTGGATTTCACCACAGCACAGCAAAGTGGCTGTGGTCAGACTGCTTCTCTAGATTTCTCCTCACTGGGCAAGGCATCTGCAGGAAATCCAGCAGCTCTAGTCAGGGGCTTACAGACAGAACTGTCACCTCCCTGGGATAGAGCACCTGGGGTGGGGGGAGGGGCAGCTGTGGTCTCAGGTTCATGGTACTTAATCTTTCCTGCCTGCCAGCTCTGAAGAGAGTGGCTGATCCTGACAAGGGAGATATTTTCCCAAGGCAGCGCACCAGCTCTCCTAAGGGACAGACTGCCTCCTCAAGTGGGTCCCTGACCCTGTGCCTCCTGACTGGGAGAGGCTTCCCAGCAGGGGTCGACAGACAGCTCATACAGGAGACCCGCGGGCATCAGGCCAGTGCCCCTCTGGGATGAAGCTTCCAGAGGAAGGAGCAGGCAGCAATCTTTGCTGTTCTGCAGCCTCCACTGGTGATACCCAGGCAAACAGGGTCTGGGGTGAAATTTCAGCAAACTGCAGCAGACTTGGAGAAAAGGGGCCTGACTGTTAGAAGAAAAACTAACAAACAGAAAGCAAAAACAACAACAACAACAAAGATCCCTTCCCCCCATAAAAAAAAAAAATCCATCCAAAGTTCATCAGCCCCAAAGATCAAAGGTAGATAAATCCAGGAAGATGAGGAAAAAACAATGCAAAAATGTTGAAAATTCCAAAAGCCAGAATGCCTCCTCTCCTCCAAATGATCTCAACACCTCTCCAGCAAGGGCGCAGAACTGGTTGGAGGATGAGATGGATGAATTGACAGGAGTAGGCTTCAGAAGGTGGGTAATAAAAAACTCCACTAACCTAAAGGAGCATGTTCTAACCCAATGCAAAGAAGCTAAGAACCTTGATAAAATGTTACAGGAGTTGCTAACTAGAATCACCAGTTTAGAGAGGAACATAAGTGACTTGATGGAGCTGAAAAACATAGCACAAGAACTTCGTGAACCATAAACAAGTATCAACAGCCAAATCGATCAAATAGAAGAAAGGATATCAGAGATTGAAGATCAACTTACTGAAATAAGGCATTAGACAAGATTAGAGAAAAAAGAGTGAAAAGGAATGAACAAAACCTCTGAGAAATATGGAACTATGTACAAAGACTGAACTTGGAGATGGTAGAAGGGAACCAAGGTGGAAAACACACTTCAGGATATTATCCAGGAGAACTTCCCCAATATAGCGAGACAGGCCAACATTCGAATTCAGGAAATACAGAGAACATCACAAAGATACTCCATGAGAAGATCAACCCCAAGACACATAATCATCAGATTCTCCAAGGACGAAATGAAAGAAACAATGTTAAGGGCAGCCAGAGAGAAAGGCCAGGTCACCTATGGGAAACCCATCAGACTAACAGTGGATCTCTCTGCAGAAGCCCTAACAAGCCAGAAGAGAGTGGGGGCCAATATTCAATATTCTTAAAGAGAAGAATTTTCAACCCAGAATTTCATATCCAGCCAAATTAAGCTTCATAAGTGAAGGAGAAATAAAATCATTCCCAGACAAGCAAATGCTGAGGGATTTTTGTCACCACCAGCCCTGCTTTGCAAAAGCTCCTGAAGGAAGCAGTAAATATGGAAGGGAAAAACTGGCACCAGCCATTGCAAAAACACAATGACACTATGAAGAAACTGCATCAACTAGTGTGCAAAATAACCAGCTAGCATTATGATGACAGGATCAAATTGATACATAACAATATTAACCTTAAATGTAAATGGGCTAAATGCCCCAATGAAAAGACACAAACTAGCAAACTGGGTAAAGAATCAAGACCCATTGGTGTGTTGTATTCAGGAGACCCGTCTCGCATGCAAAGACACACATAGGCTCAAAATAAAGAAATGGAGGAAAATTTACCAAGCAAATTGAGGGGGAATAAAAAAGCAGAGGTTGCAATCCTAGTCTCTGACAAAACAGACTTTAAACCAACAAAGATCAAAAAAGACAAAGAAGGCCATTACATAATGGTGCAGGGATCAATTCAACAAGAAGAGCTAACTATCTTAAATATATATGCACCCAATACAGGAGCACCCAGATTCATAAAACAAGTTCTTAGAGACCTACAAAGAGACTTAGACTCCCACACAATAGTAATGGGAGACTTTAACACCTCACTGTCAATATTAGACGAACAAGACAGAAAATTAACAAGGATATTCAGGACTTTAACTCAGCTCTGGATCAAGTGGACCTAATAGACATCTACAGAACTCTTCACACAAAATCAAGAGAATATACATTCTTTTCAGCTCCACATCACACTTATTCTAAAATCAACCACATAATTGGAAGTAAAACATTCCTCAGTAAATGCGAAAGAACTGAAATCATAACAGTCTCTCAGACCACAGTGCACTCAAATTAGAACTCAGGATTAAGAAACTCACTCAAAACTACACAACTACATGGAAATTGAACAACCTGCTCCTGAATGACTCCTGAGTAAACAGTGAAATTAAGGCAGAAATCAAGAAGTTCTCTGAAACCAATGAGAACAAAGAGACAACATACTAGAATCTCTGGGACACAGTTAAAGGAGTGTTAAGAGGGAAATTTATAGCACTAAATGTCCACATCAGAAAGCTACAAAGATTTCAATTTGACACCCTAACATCAGAATTAAAATAACTAGAGAAGCAAGAGCAAACAAATCCAAAAACTAGCAGAAGACAAGAAATAACTAAGATCAGAGCAGAACTGAAGAAGGCAGAGGCATGAAGAACCGTCCAAAAATGCAATGAATCCAGGAGCTGATTTTTTGAAAAAATTAACAAATAGATAGACCACAAGCTAGACTAATAAAGAAAAAAGAGAAAAGAATCAACTAGACACAATAAAAAATGATAAAGGGGATATCACCACGGACCCCACAGAAGTACAAACTACCATCAGAAAATACTATAAATACCTCTCCACAAATAAACTAGAAAGTCTAGAAGAAATGGATAAATTCCTGGACACATATATACTACCAAGACTAAACCAGGAAGAAGTTGAATCCCTGAATAGATCAATAATTTCTGAAATTGAGGCAGTAATTAATAGTGTACCAACCAAATAAAGTCCAGGACCAGATGGATTCATAGCCAAATTCTATCAGAGGTACAAAGAGGAGCTGGTACCATTCCTTCTGAAACTCTTCCAAACAATTGAAAAGGAGGGATTCCTCCCTTACTCATTTTATGAAGCCAGCAGCATCCTGATACTAAAACCTGGCAGAAACACAACAAAAAAAAGAAAACTTCAGGCCAATATCCTTGATGAACATTGAAGCGAATATCCTCAATAAAATACTGGCAAACTGCATCCAGCAGCACATCAAAAAACTTATCCACCACAATGAAGTCAGCTTCAGCCCTAGCACGCAAGGCTGGTTCAACATATGCAAATCAATTAACATAACCAATCACATAAACAGAACCAAAGACAAAAACCACATGATTATCTCAATAGATGCAGAAAAGGCCTTTGATAAAATTCAACATCCCTTCATGTTAAAAACTCTCAATAAATTAGGTATTGATGGAACATATCTCAAAATAATAAGAGCTATATTATGACAAACCCATAGCCAATATCATATTGAATAGGCAAAAGCTGAACACATTCCCTTTGAAAACCGGCACAAGACAAGGATGCCTTCTCTCACCACTCCTATTCAACATAGTATTGGAAGTTCTGGCCAGGGCAATCAGGCAAGAGAAAGAAATAAAGCATATTCAAATAGGAAGTGAGGAAGTCAAATTGTCTCTGTTTGCAGACTACATGATTCTATATTTAGAAAATCCCATCCCCTCAGCCCCAAAGCTACTTAAGGTGACAAGCAACTTCAGCAAAGTCTCAGGATACAAAATCAATGTGCAAAAATCACAAGCATTCCTTTACACCAACAATAGACAAACAGAGAGCCAAATTATGAATGAACTCTCATTCACAATCACTACAAAAAGGATAAAATACCTAGGAATATAGCTAACAAGGGATGTGAAGGACCTCTTCAAGGAGAACTACAAATAACTGCTCAAGGAAATAAGAGAGGATACAAACAAATGGAAAAACATTCCATGCTCATGAATAGGGAGAATCAATATTGTGAAAATGGCCGTACTGCCCAAAGTAATTTATAGATTCAATACTATTCCTATCAAATTACCATTGACATTCTTCACAGAATTAGAAAAAACTACTTTAAATCTCATATGGAGTCAAGTAAGACCCTGTATAGCCAAAACAATCCTAAGCAAAAAGAACAAAGCTGGAGGCATCATGCTACCTGCCTTCAAACTATACTGCAAGGCTACAGTCACCAAACTGCATGGCACTGGTACCAAAACAGACACATAGACCAATGGAACAGAACAGAGGCCTCAGAAATAACGCCACATATCTACAACCATCTGATCCTTGACAAATCTGACAAAAACGAGCAATGGGGAAATGATCTCCTATTGAATAAATGGTGCTGGGAAAACCAGCTAGCCATATGCAGAAAACTGAAATTGGACCCCTTCCTTACACCTTATACAAAAATTAACTCAAGATGAATTAAAGCCTTAAATGTAAAGAAGAAAACCTAGGCAATACCATTCAGGACATAGGCATGGGCAAAGACTTCATGACAAAAACACCAAAAGCAATTGCAACAAAAGTCAAAATTGAAAAATGGGGTCTAATTAAACTAAAGAGCTTCCATACAGCAAAAGAAAGTATCATCAGAGTGAACAGGCAACCTACAGAAGGGGAGAAAATTTCTGCAATCTACCCATCTGGCAAAGGGCTAATATCTAGAATTTACAATGAACTTTAACAAATTTACAAGAAAAAACAAGCAACCCCATCAAAAAGTGGGCAAATAATATGAACAGACACTTCTAAAAAGAAGATTTATGTGGCCAACAAATATATTTACACAGCCAACAAACATATGAAAAAAAGCTCAACATCACTGATTATTAGAAAAATGCAAGTCAAAACCACAATGAGATACCATTTCACACGAGTCAGAATGGCGATTATTAAAAAGTCAAGAAACAACCATTGCTTGTGAGGCTGTGGAGAAATTGGAATGCTTTTACACAGTTGCTGGGAATGTAAATTAGTTCAACCATTGTGGATGACAGTATGGCTATTCCTCAATGATCCAGAACCAGACTATTTGACCCAACAATCCCATTACTGGGTATATACCCAAAGGATTATAAATTATTCTACTATAAAGACACATGCACACATATGTTTATTGCAGCAGTATTTACAATAGCAAAGTCATGGAACCAACCCAAATGCCCATCAGTGACAGACTGGATAAAGAAAATGTGGTACATATACACCATGGACTTCTATGCAGTGATAAAAAGAAATGAGATCATGTCATTTGCAGGGCATGGATAAACCTGGAAGCCATCATCCTCAGCAAACTAACACAGGAACAGAAAACCAAACACCACATGTTCTCACTCATAAGTGGGAGTTGAACAGTGAGAACAGATGGACACAGGGAGGGGAACATCACACACGGAGGCCTGTCAAGGGGTGGGGGAAAAAGGGAGGGAGAGCATTAGGACAAACACCTAATGCATGTGTGGCTTAAAACCTAGATGAAGGGTTGATGGGTGCAGCAAACCACCATGGCACCTGTATACCTGTGTAACAAACCTGCATGTTCTGCACATGTATCCCAGAACTTAAAGTAAAATAAATAAACACGTAAGTGTAAAATAAATAAACACATAAGTTTAAAAAAAATTCACTGGCTTTCAGTTCATAATTAACAGCTGGGTTTTAAGGTGCAATTCCAGGCCTGTAAAGGAACTGAACTGCAAGCAAAAGTAACTACACAAATGACAGAGGAAGAAACAAGGTAGAAGTCTAGTCCCAGGTACAGGGATGACAAAAATATCAATAGAGAGTGCTGTAATTGTGAGATCACTTCAGCTCTGCACCTCACAGCCTACCTCTGATTTGTGTCTTAATTGGTTAATTAAGTCAGGAATCCAATCAGCATTCATTGAGTACCTTTCATATATCAGGAACTAACCCAGAGTAAAATGAATAAAACACAGTGGTTTAGGGTAGAGAAGAAAGGTAAATATTAGGGATTTATATTGAATAATATTAGATTATAGTTCAGGAAAAAAGAAATAAAAGATAAGCAGGATATTTGAACCCCATTTAAGCTATGCAGACTTGAAGGATGGATCCCTGATTTTAAATAAACAGTACTGGATTGATTACTTATTTCTTCCTTCCTCCCTTCATTGCTTGCCTTTAAAACGTTATCTATCTCGCTTCCATACCCAATTTACTGTTTTGAGATTGGATTCTGAGTGGGGATATTGAGTGGACCACAGAATTAAAATTAAGGGAAAACTAAACTGTGGGGTGTTATTTGGGAACCTCTCTGCACACTGGCACTTATTATTGGCATATGTCCATGCCCCCTTTGGTTTTAGATGGCCTTTGGAGTCAACATGAGCTGACTATGCACGATCATGCTCCTGCTTAACTCCAGCCTCAGTTCCAAACACTTGCCCTCCTGCTTTGACTCCAGCTTAAAAACAGGCCAAACATGTTCCCATTAAGGCCTTTGAACTTACTATTTATCTTGTGTGCATATGTGAATATGTCCACACAATTTATTCTCTTATTTTGTTCAAGATGCTGCTTCATGAGGGCAGGGGCTTTGTTTTGTTTACTGCTGTGTTCTCAGGGCCTATAACTGTGCTCATAGTAGGTGCTCAATACATAGTGAATGAATATATTGCATGACTCAACATTTAGATCTAGGATGCCACTATTTACCAAGACCTACCCAGTGGCGAGCCCAGCTGTCTGTCGTTTTACCTGTTTATCTTAGGAAACATAATAGGCTGGAGTGTACTTGGTGGAGCTATTAATGGACACATCTGAGTAGCGGAGGGAGGCAGAGGCATGAGAAACAAGTAGGCAGTGGCATATTGCATCATCTGGGATGTTATACACACATGTTGGATCTTTACATTGCTAGATGATAAGCCCCTTTAAGGTGCTTGGGTCACACTTAAGGAAGCTTAATAGCAACTTGCCTAAAGTTGTCCATATATTGATATTCAATGACTTTTATTAAATTAATGAATAACTTGATATTGACCTTATAAAGCTACATAGTTGAGAATTACTTAAAATAAGAATATCTATAATGACTTCATTAAAATTACTATTTAGGTTCAGATTTATAAGAAAGTGAACTATTATTATACCATTTCAAAAATTAGGAAATCTTAGTGTTAACTTGAAACATAAGCCAACATAATATTCAATCAGATAAATGATTGATTTGTCTAACTATCATAAGACTGTGAGAATTAAATGAGTTTACACATGATATGCATTTAAAACATCTGGGCATGGGGCTGGGTGCGGTGGCTCAAGCTTGTAATCCCAGCACTTTGGGAAACTGAGGCAGGCAGATCACGAGATCAGGAGTTCAAGACCAGCCTGGCCAGATGGTGAAACACTGTCTCTACTAAAAATACAGAAATTAGCTGGGCATGGTGGTGGGCGCCTGTAATCCCAGCTACTTAGGAGGCTGAGGCAGAGAATTGCTTGAACCTGGGAGGCGGAGGTTTCAGTGAGCTGAGATTGCCTCACTGCAGTCCAGCCTGGGTGACAGAGTGAGACTCCGTCTCAAAAAAACAAAACAAAACAACAAAACAACAGAAAAACAAAAAAACACAACAACATAATAAGATTCCACTGTTGAGTAGCAATTATTATTATTAGTGGTACAAATAGTAGTAGTAGTTCTATACTACGATCTCTATCTCCCTCTTTCTCTTTCTTCGTGTCATCCTCTCAAATAGAGAGCAAATCTTTTACAGCAGGAACCATGTAATATATTTCTATGCACAAGGAAGAGACACAATACAAATATACTGAATAAATAAATAATTCAATTTGAAGATTTCTATCTACAGAAAACAAAAAATAATTATGTTGTTTTTGGAATGATACTGTTACTACTATTTGCAGAGAGGGATGGAGAGGGGAGGAAAAGTGTAGTTTTATGGTGAGGACCCTGGACTTTATCATATGATAGTGCTGGACTTCACTGCTAGTTACTAGCTACGTTTGCGTGGAAAAGTTAATTTAATCTAAGATTTAGCTTCTTTTTCTGTAAAGTAGGAATAACAACAGCTACCTCTCAGAATTGTCTTGAGGACTAAGTGAGAAATGTACAACATGTTACTTGCACATTGTTTTGCCAATTCTAGAAATTATTGTAATCACTCAGGAATCCATAGTGGTGTCTTATAAGAGGTACAGAAATTTAACAACCTTAACATATGACATATCTCTTTCTTCCTATTATATTTTATAAAGTTAAGGACATTGACAATAAAATAGGGTAAGTCAGTAAACATTTCTTCTTCATTCATTTGGAAATGCATTATGCTCTGTTTTGGGACCACTTCTGAATTCTTGTCTTGTATTATTCTGAAGAATTTCACTTGTTTGGCTTGTAACAAATTAGGTTAGGAGTCTGTAAGAGACTGTTTGTCTGATTGTGTTATAGTCTCAGCTGTGTCAGGGACTATTCCTTATGTTGAGCATCATGGTATTGTAAAAGTATGTCTGATTCAACTATAGGCTTCAAGTTCTAAATTTGTGTCCCAGTTTCCCCATTGCCATTAGCAATAGACCCACAGACTGGTTTCGAATCCTCTGAAAAGCCATTTTCCTAGGTGTGAAATGAACATAATCATCTGAGTGTGCTCAACAGCTTATTGTGAGCTGAAAATGGGTTAATGCATGAATAAGAGCTTTGGAAGCTGTCAAGTGCAGCACAATATATGACTAATAAATCAACAATGATTTATTGATACGAAATGAGTGGCTAATTTCATCAATGCCTAAGGCATTTAGAAAGTTACATTTGTGTTGTATATTCACAATTGCAAGTACCTGAATTAGAATAGATTAAAAAACATGATTGATTTGGGAAAACTACCTTGGAGATACCTTATGTTCTCTTATGTTAAATTTCACACTTAGATTTCATTTTGTGGTTATTCATCACTTTTGGAATTGCTGCTTATTTCATGTTAACATTAAGGAAAAATAACTATTTTGTGGTTTAGGTATAACTCCTACTTGAAGAGTGTGAGAGAATATTTACTACTCGGATGTTTGAGACATACCAAAAAATGCTTTTTGATCCTTTATCAAGAAGACGTAATGACCAAGATTGATAAAGAAAAATGCAATGGTTACTTTACCTGCAACCATCTCAAAGACGCTCTAATGTCATTTCAGAGTGAGTACTTCAAGTGGTAGGGGTAGAGGAATAAGATGTAATTAAATACTTTTTTTTTACTCAGAGATTTTAAAGATTATTACATACGCAGTAAAATTGGTAATTTTTCTCTAGCATCTAAATCCATTACTAAAGACCAAATCCTTTGCTTTAACAAAATGAGAATCAAGACATTGTTGATTGAAAAAAATATAAGGGTAACTGTTAATGGATTTTTAAGGCCTGCATTCTTTTGTATCCTGTGTGTTACTTTAGTTATTAAATTCCTACTCTAGTTCTCTGTTTTCAGTGAGAGTTCGTATATACTGAATGACTTGTCTAACAGTAAAATACAATTTCTTAAAACATTATTTCAATGGGTTTGCTTTTTGTTTGTTGAATTGTTTAAGTTCCTTATAGATTCTGGATATCAGACCTTTGTTGAATGCAAAGTTTGTGAAAATTTTCTCCCATTCTGTATGTTGTCTGTTTACTCTGTTGATAGTTTCTTTTGCTGTGAAGAAGCACCTTAGTTTAATTAGGTCCTAATTGTCAAATTTTGTTTTTATTGTAATTGCATTTGGGAACTGAGTCATAAATTCTTCACCAAGGCTGATGTCCAGAATGGTATATCCTAGGTTTTCTTCTAAGGGTTTTATTGCTTAAGGGCTTACATTTAAGTCTTTAATCCATCTTGTGTTAATTTTTGTATATACTGAAAGGAAGCGGTCCTGTTTCAATCTTCTGCATATGGCTAGCCAATTATCCCTGAACCATTTCTTGAACAGGGAGTCCTTTTCCCGCTGTTTGTTACTGTTGACTTTGTTGAAGATCAGGTGGTTGTAGGCGAGTGGTTTTATTTCTGGGTTCTCTTTTCTGTTCTTTTGGTCTATGTGTCTGTTTTTGTGCCAGTAACATGCTGTTTGCTTACTGTAGCCTTGTAGTATAGTTTGAAGTTGGATAATGTGATGTCTCCAGCTTCGTTCTATAACCCTATTAAAAAATGGGCAAAGGGCATGAATAGACACTTCCGAAAAGAAGACATATATGTGGCCCACAAATATATGAGAAAATGCTCATTATCACTAATCATTAGAGAAATGCAAATCAAAACCACAGTGAGATACCATCTCATGCCAGGCAGCATGGCAATTATTAAAAAGTCAAAAAAGAACAGATGCTGGTGAGGCTGTGGGGAAAAAAGAACAATTATACACTACTGGTAAGAATGTAAATTAGTTCAGCCACTGTGAAAAGCAGCGTGTATATTTCTCAAAGAACTTAAAACAGAACTACTATTTGACCCAGCAATCCTACTACTGGGTATACACCCAAAGGAAAATAAATCGTTCTACCAAAAGGTACCTGCACTCATATGTTCATTGAAGCCATATTCACAATAACAAAGCCGTGGAATTAACCAAGATGCCCATCAACAGTGGACTGGATAAAGAAAATGTGGTTCATATACACCATGGAATATGATGCAGCCATAGAAAAGAATGAAATCATGTCCTTTGCAGCAACATAGATACAGCTGGAGGCCATTATCTTAAATGAACTAATGTAGGAACAGAAAACCAAATAATGCATGTTCTCACTTATAAGTGGGAGCTAAACATTGACAGCACATGGACACAAGGATGGGAACAATAGACACTGGGAATTGCTTGAAGAAAGAGATTAGAGGGGGGCATGGATTGGAAGGCTAGTTATTGGGTACTATGTTCACTACCTGAATGACAGGCTCATTCATATGCTAAGCCCCAGTGAAACACAACTTACCCATGTAACAAACCTGGACATGTAACACCTAAATCTAAAATAAAAGTGGAGGAAAAAAAATTTATTTCAGTGCAGAGTGTCATATACTACTGAGATAGGGAAAAATCCTGAAAAATATCAGCATCTGCATTTCTGGATATGAGGCTTAAAGCATTAATTTCTATGGCAAAAAAATATTTTTAATAGACAATTTCAAGCATACACAAAAGACAAAAGTACAATATGAACTTCATTATAGCCATAACCCAGATTCCCGAATTAGCAAGGTTTTGCCATTTGGGCTTCCTCTGTCATTCTTTTCTTCTCTCCCCTCCTCCTTCCTGACCTTTCTTCCTTCCTTTGCTTTACTGAGGAATTTCAAAGCAAATCTCAGATCTCATTCCATTTCACTCCTACGTACTTCAGTATGCATCTATACAACATGCAAACTTTTTCCTATATAATCTTAATGCCATTATCACATATAATAAATGCAAACGTAATATTTTTGTTATGATTTAGTAATAAGTTCATACTAAATTTCCCAGACTTTCTAAAAATATCTTTTTACGTTTGATATGTTTGAATCAGAATTCAATGTTCACAAATCACATTTGATTGTTTTAGTTCTTTACCTACCTTGATCCTTTTCTCTTTTTTTTTTCATGCAATCGACTTACCACTGACACTGGATTAGTTGTTTTCTTGTAGAATTTCCCACAGCTTGGATTTGTTTGATTGCTTCCTTGTGTGTCATTTAATTTGCTCTTTTATGTCCCATAATTTCTATAAATAGAAGCCAGCTCTAGACTTTTAAGGAGTCTAGGTGTATATATTTTTTTTCAGCTGGAGTACTTAGTAGAAGATTCTGTGGGATTCATATTATACCAGATAAGGAGGAACTAGGTTTTTGATTTTCTGCTTTTAACAGAACAGCCAGAATTGTTTATTGGAATGTTTCAATCTACTTTTATATAGTGATTGTATCCACTGATGATTATTGCTGGAATCCATTATCTCATTGAGGCTTGCATGATGGTGGTTTCTAATTGTATTTTTCCTACTACATGTGTTAGCCACAATTTATCTAAAAATATAACTTCCTTACATCATTTAGGACTATTTGGTTGCCCTGAAATACAATTTATACAGACAAGCAAGATAAATGACTATTTCTTTTTCTACAAATTGTCAGTGTTCATAGTAACTAATGCCCTAGTTATCTCTAATAGTGATGAGTGGGGCTAATATGGTTTGGATCTGTGATCTCCCATCCAAATCTCATGTTCAGTTGTAATCTCCAATGTTGGAGGTGGGGCCCAGTGGTAAATAATTGGATCATGTGGGAAGATTTTTCATAAATGGTTTAGTATTGTCCTCTTGGTACTGTCCTCATGATAGTGAGTAAGTGAGTGCTTGTGAGATCTGGTCATTTGTAAGTGCATAATACCTTCCCCCTTGCTCTCTTGCTCCTCCTGCTCTGGCCATGTGAGGTGCCTGCTCCCCCTTTACCTACCACAGTGATTGTAAGTTTCTGGGGCCTCCTCTGAAGCTAAGCAGATGGCAGCATCATGCTTCCTATAGCCTGCAGAACTGTGAGCCAATTAAACCTCTTTTCCTTATAAATTACCCAGTCTCAGGTATTTTTTCATTCTCTCTTGTCATTATTAAGTCAAAGATTTTGATATATTCACATATGTAAATGAAATGTAGCCATAACTTTAGGTTTACACAAAAAAATTGCAGAGAATTCCCATATACTCCATACACAATTCTCCCTATTATTAACATCTTACATTAATGTGGATCATTTACCACGATTAATGAAACACTATTGATTCATTATTATTAATTAAAATGCATATTTTATTCATATTTCCTTAGTTTTTACCTGATACCCTTTTTCTGTTCTAGGATCCCATCCAGGATACCACATAACATTTGGTTGTGATGTCTCTCCTTAAGCTCCCCTGGGCTGTAAGAGTTTTTTAGACTTGTTTTTGATAATCTTAACAGAGTGCTGGTCAGATATTCTGTAAATGTTCCCCAGTGGAATTTGTCTAATATCCTTTTCATGATTATACTGAGATTATGGATTTCTGAGAGGAAGACCAAAGTGGAAAATTCCATTTCATCACATCTTATCAAGGATACATGCAATCAACATAACTGATCACTGTTGATGTCCTTGATCACCTGGTGGATGCAGTGTTTTTTAGATTTCTGCAGTGTAAAGTCACTCTTTTTTTCTGCCTTTCCATATTGTATTCTGTGGAAGGAATTCACCATATGCCATCCACATTTAATGGTAGAGTATTACAAAATTATCTAGAATTCTTTCGCATGGGAGATTTGTCTCTATTTTTTGATCATTTATTTCAGTAAAGACTAATGTATTTATTTCAGATTTTAGGTTATAATCAATCACTACTTTATCTTATTGCTTAAATAGTTCCAACTTTGACTTTTGGGAGCTCTTTCAGTGAGTTCCTGTGTCTATTTGACATACTCCTATTGCTGTGAATTTTTGTTTGTTTGTTTGTTTGTGAACATTGCCTTACCTTCTGGCACTACTAGATGCTCCAGGCTCATCTTATAAAGTTCCTTCCTTAGTTCTGAATAAGCTCTTTCTCTAAGGAGCTCTGGTTGCTTTTTTTTTTAGAAAACGGTATTAGAAACCAAGATCTAGGTGCTAGGTATGTTCATTGCTGCTGGAATTATTGCTTTTAAGCTCTTAATTCATTTTGATTCTCCAATTTTTCTATCTCAGTCCAAAGAAAGCCTCTTTAGGTTGGCTTTAGTGTTATTCTTAAATAATTCCACAGGACTTTAATTGCTTCCTTCTTTTCCTGCCCCAAAAAAAGGCTCCCAGGCTCAGTTGGTATATTTTTTCAGATCTAGAATTAGCTATTGGTCCTATTGTGGGAAATGATATTTAGGCACCAAAATCTAGGGGCCAGTAAAAGAAATTGGGCCAGAATTTATTTTACTGGATTCTTATTGCTTCTTACAGTGAACATATTTAAGAAATACATATTTTTGAAAAAAAAAACACATGTTCATGCTGATTTTTCTAATTTCTTTAATTTTATACTTTTATTTCTTTTCTAACACAATGAAATTCTTAGTTTTCAGTGTAAGAGAAATATATGTGTATTGAGTATAGTTAGTATATATAAAAAATTATATATATATAGTACGTCTATACATATGTGTGTATGTATTTTTATATATAATCTTAGGGTGTTAGTACCAAAATTACTATCGGTACTATTACAAAGAAACTGAAATTACTTTTGCACCAACCTAATGCTAACAATAAAATTACTGAACAAAGTTTCACATATTTTTACAGCTCTATTTGTCTTCAGAAAATATTCCAATGTGGAGATGTAATCAAATATTGTATTCTAATGTCACGTGATTGTTTTCTTTGTTATATTGTTTTATTAATTTTGTATACAACTACATTTATTTATTTTTACTTATTTTTAGAGAAAGCTCTTTTAAATTTTAAAAATATACACATTATTTACATGATTCCCAAGCTGAAACTGTGTAGCAAGGTATATCCAAAGAAATCTTTGTATTCCTGTACCCTTCACGTTGTTTCTTCTCTCACGGCATAGGTAACCATTTGTATTTGTTTGTTTTTGGTTTTCCTTCCAACGTTTTCTTTATCAAATTTTCTGCACCTTGCTTTATTTTAACTTAAAAATATATCTCAGCAATTACTCCATGGTAATAAGAAACCTCCTTATTCCTTTTATACATTGTATAATATTTCCTTGTGTGTTGTGTCTATGCCATAATTTATTCAACCAATCCTCTATTGATAGGTGTTTGGATTTTCTCCAATCTTTTACCATCACAAATAATGTCTTGATGAATAATCTCGTGCATTTGTCACTCTATATCATTGCTAGTGTGGTTTTTTTCTCTTTTGTAAAGCAGGGATAACAAAAGTACTTTGTAGATTTGTTTAGAGCATAAAATGTGATGTGGTGTATGGTATGTTTGGTGTAATGTCTGGCACATGGTCATTGCAGCTGCAAATACAATTATTATTAAGTTTAAAGTGCTACAATTCCTGTTTTAGGGTATTGTGGAAACACATTAGAGAGATGTTTAATCCCAACTCTGTGTGTGTGTGTGTGTGTGTGTTGGACACAATGAGTGTGAGTAGGAGTGGGGAAGGTTAGATAGAAACAAATGACACCTCAGCTGAGGCTTGAAGGTGAACAGATTTTTTGGATCAGGGGAGGACGTTCCATGCAAAAGAAGCATATTGGACGGTCAGATCAGGAGAAAGAACAGATAATTTTGAGAACTTCAAGAAAAACTTAGGTTATAAAGGAGAGGAATGGTGACTGATGATGTAAAGGTAAGCAAGTGGTTGGTACTGGAGGGATATTTTCTGCTCCTCAAATACTTAATTCTGAAGGTTATGGAGAATTAGTAAAGGATTTTATGCCAAGAAAGGACATGACAAAATTTTTATTTTACAAAACTCATGCCAGCATTTCCTCTGTCATGCAGGAAATTCAGGCAAGAAATACGAGGAACTAAACTATGGCAGTGACTGTGGACATGGAAAAATTATCCCCAGCTCACTCTTGGGACTCTTTCATCTCTGACTTTAGGACTCCAGCCTCTCCCAGTTCTCCATTTTTTAAAAAATTTCTTTGCTTATTCTTCCAGCAACTGTCCTTTAAGGAAGTCACTTCCTAAGACTTGATTTGAAGTCTCTTTCTAGCTCTATACTCTTTTGGGGTGCTCTCATTTACTCTCATGGTTTCAAATGTTACCTCTATGCAGTTGACTTGCATATCTGCATCTCTATTTCTAACCTAACTCTTTCTAGAATTCCAGATTCATATATCCAACTGTTAGCTAAACATTTCCAGTTGTATTTCCTCTAAACACTTTGAACTTAGCATTTTTCAAACCAACATCATCTCCTCTCCTCCCCTCTCCTCTGGCCACTCCCCCAAACACAAACCTTGTCTTTTTGGTTTCCTTCGTCATTACCTGCTTTACATTGTCATTGAAACAAGAGCATTCCTTATATCTTATCCATATACCTCACAGACATCTGTGCCTCCGGTGCTGTCTCATCTGTGGTCTGAGTCTAACTTTTCTATCTATTTCCTCTAACACAGCCTTGGCTCTGGCCTTCATCACTCCTCAATTGTACTACTAATTTTCATAACTTCAATGGTTTCTCCTCCTTAATCTTTTCCCTCCCTCTACTTATCTTTTACTACCAGAATGGTGCTTCCAAAATCTGCAATGGATTCTGATTGTCTTCAGAATACAGGCCATGGTCCTGTGGTGAGACATTCGGAACTCTGTGGCTGCCCATCAATCTACCTTCAAACTCTGAGCTGCCACCATACTCCATGAACATCAGGAGGCTCAACAAACATTCCTTGTGTTTTCCTTCAAGCCTCTCCTTGCATGATTCCTTGGGTGACAGTACCATTCTTCCTATTATTTCCTCTCCAAGTCCTCTTTACCTTTCAAGTCCCAGCTCTTACGTCCCCTCCCCAGTGAAGCCCTCTTTGAACCAGTCTCTTACCAGTCTCTTACCAGCGTTTGGCATAAATTGACCCCTTTCTCCTCTGAACTGCAAATCATTTATAAGAACCTTGACTTTGCCAACTATGGCTATAATTGTCCTCCCTGTACTTGATTGTATATGTGGGTATCCCTTACAAAACTATACATTCATAGAAACCTATCATCATCCCTTATATACGGTGGTGCTCAGAGTATCATCTTGAATTATTTAAATACAATCTCTTGTAATTCATTATCTTTAGGTCAAGAAGGTACAATCAGCATAATGAAATTGGTTAAATTCTGACAATTATGACCAAACATTTTAACACATTGTACTGAGTACTTAGTAGGAATCAAGCAACATGCCCAATGCTTTATAGATTTCATTTTCTTATTCATCCTGACTACCCTATGAGATAGTTTCTGCTATCATGTCCACTTTATCAAAGGGTAAATTAAGATTTAGGGACACTAATTAAATTGACAACATCATAAATCAGTAAAAGGAAGAAGTAGCATTCAAACCCAGCTGAAAAAGACCTGTGCCTTAGACACATCAGATGCTTTCCTGCTCCAACATTGTCGAATAGAAGAACTGGTGCATAGTGTGAGTTCAGAAAGTCATTAAATGTCAGTAACCTGGTATGAGTTTGATGGGGTTCAGAACATAGTACACCAAAATATGGCACGTCAGCATTTGAGAAAACAGTAGAAGCAGGAATATTATTCTCATCTTCCCTGTCCCTTCTCCCCTGAAACAGGTCATAAGACCCTCATTCTAGAGGTGCCCTTCCTATACCTGGAAGACACAGGGACACAAATAACACACAAGAACACAGGGACACAGATAATAATGTGAACAAATAGGCCTTGCTAAGTACCCCCAGCTTATTACCGTTGGATCATACCCCCTTTGTTCAATCACACTTCTCCATGACTATCCATTTCTTCATCAAAACTGGCATTAAGCAGCTAGGCACAGTGGCTCATACCTGTAATCCCAGCATTGTGGGATGCTGAGGCAGGCAGATCACTTGAGTCCAAGAGCTTGAGACCAGCCTTGCCAACCTGATCAAACCCCATCTCAACTAAAAATACAAAAATTAGCCGGGATCGGTGGGGCATGCCTGTAGTCCTAGCTACTTGAGAGGCTCACACAGGAGAATCGTTTGGCCCCAGGAGGCGGAGGTTGCAGTGAGCCGAGATCGCACCACTGCACTCCAGCCTGGGTGACAGAGTGAGACTCTGTCTCAAAAAACAAAACACCAAAACTGGCATTAAAAATACAGTTTTTCCTATTTGTGTATTCAATTCTTATGGTTCCCATGTCACATAAAACTTATATTAAATAATTTTGTATAATTTTTCTCTCATTAATCTGTCTTTTGTTATAGGGACTTCAGCCATGAACTTGGTGATGAGCCAGAGAAGGTAACTTTTCATCCCCTACAAGACCTGTAAGTCCAAAACAAAATTTTGTGCATTTTCTGGCTAAGGACAATAATTCCTGTAGTGGGAATATTAAAGACAAGTCTACGAATACCATAAAATGATAAAAAAAGTCAAACTTGGAAGAAAAGTTAGACAATTTGTTTATAAAGAAATATTCTGAATTTCCAAGGGATTTCCTGTTACTTTTAATATTTACATTTTCTGAGATACTGTTAATATAATACTTAAAGAAGATGGAGTAGTAGCCCCAAGAGAGAAACTCCACAGACTTTAAATGTTGGTGCATTTATTCAGCAAACATATTAATAAATATCCATTCTGTACTAGGTGCTGTAAGAAGATACAAAGTGGGATCAAATGTCTACATATTGCTTATAATCTAACAGCAGGGATAAGAAATATACTCAGCAGGTTACAAGAGCTAGTGATAACTCATCACTGCCTTAGAAGGGTTTCAGTTCCAGCTGCAATTTCCATAGGAATTCTATGGAGAGAGAGAAAACTCTCTATGTTACAGGGTATAAATAGATTTTTATTGAAGACAGCAACTGGTGGCAAAGTTATAGAAATACAGTTTTGCCAGGATCAGACTTACATCTCAAATAATTACTTTAAATCTCTTGAAAAAAAAATCATTTTGTAAACTTCAGTGTCAGTCAGTCAATCAATATGTCCAGTTTGGTTAGAATTGTATAAGAAAGTCATACATTTTTAAAACATTTCCACTATTCCGATAAATTACAAATGATGAGGTCTGCCAATAAGAAGCATCTAATTATGTTCAAAACAAAAACCTTAACTTGATCTGGTTTGCAAGTACTTTCTGAGGTAGTATGGATACTGCCTGGTGTTCAATAAAAGGAACATACTGTCTTGTTGAACTGAGAGCAATTTTGTGTTCCGCCTTCTACCCTGCCAAGAACTAGCTGTTCTTGAGACTTAGCACAAGTCCTTCAATCTCTTTTTTTAAGCCGAGTAGCTAGGTGATCTTTAAAATCTCCTCTGTCAGTCAAATTATTTCATTTAATATCACCTTATTTAAGCCCATGCTAACAAAAAAATAGTGAAGAGTTCTCTAATTTGTGCAAGTCTATATAAGAGCTAATCATTGTGTGACAAAAAGAAATAAAATGCTTCCATTCTTAAAGTCAGACCATACCTTCCTGTGGCTAATTTGGGCTTTGGGCAGCCATAAGAATAGGCCTGCTTATGCCTGCAATCCCAGCACTTTGGGTGGTCAAGGCGGGAGGATTACTTGAGGCCAGGAGTTTGAGACCAGCCTGGGCTACACAGCAAGCATAGTGAGACCTTGTCTCTACAAAAAAAAATAACAAAAAAAAGAGCCCATCATAATGTAGTCCCAGCCACTTGGGAGGCTGAGGTGGGAGGATCACTTGAGCTCAGGAGTTTGAGGCTGCAGTGAGCTATGATCATGCTAATGTGTTCCAACTTGGGCAATAAAGCAAGAATCTGTCTCTAAAAAAAAAAAAGAAAAGAAAAGAAAAAGAAAAGAGCTTTATTTCAGAAATGAATAAATAGAACAGAATTTATTCATCTAACAAATATTTATTGAGCACTTACTATGTACCAGACACCATGTCAGGTGCTGAGGAACACGGTAGTGCACAAAGTCTCTGCCCTTGGCGAGCTTCTAGTCTAGAGGAGGGAAGTTAAGTAAATGAATGTATTAGGATGCTGCAGTGGGGCTTTTATGTCCTTGTGTCTTGTCTCAAAGGTGATAAGGACATAAGAACTGCCAAGTAACTCTATGTCCCTAAGGAAGGACACGTAGCAGATGCCAAGGGTAAACACTTCCAGCCTATAAAACGGTGGAAATTTGAGAGAGAGCAAGAGCAAGAGCCAGAATGAGAGTGTGTACATGAAGAGAAAGGGAGAATGAGAATCCCTAGGAAAAAGTTTTCAGGAGCTTTAAGAGAGCCAACTGGAAGGCTTGACAAATGTGTTCTGGAAGTGGAGGACTACTGTTGCCTCCTGCCAGCAGACTAGCGGTAGGGGTGCCCCCGCCTGGTATCAAAGAAAAATGGCGGTCCTGGAAGAAGATTTGCAACCAAGGTGCTGGATAAGAGAGAGAGAGTTTCCTTGTGGGCCCAGTGGCGACAGAGCCCAAGCACACTGCCTGGAAGAACAGAAGGACCTCCAAGAGTCATGAGTGAGGTGGGTTGCTGGATGCCAACAGGCTGAGGGAGGAAAGCCTAAAGACAGCGCGAGGATTGGCACAATCTACCTTAGAAAGGCACAGATAGAGTTCCGCTTCTTCCTCCCCGCTAACAAACAAACAAACCCCAAACCCACAAGAAAGCATCCGGAAAGTAAGGGATGATTGTACCGTGCTCTCTGTTTAGAAGGAATCAAGAGCATATCATGACTGCATCTGCACCCTAAGCATGTGCTCTTTGCCCACAAACTATCTTCCACTTCTTTCATGCTGGCTGGTGAGGGTCCAGGAACTTGAGTTAGAACATGCTGGAGCAAGCTGGACACGCTGAGCTCTGCACTCAAGGCTTCCTTGCCTGCATCAGACCTGAGCTGCAGACAGCTTTAACTTGAAGGATCTTACAAATTGTACTTATTTCATTGGTCTAGCTATTTTCAAATCTGAAATGAGACTTTTCTAGTGAGGGGGCCAGAAAAGCTATGGGACTTGCCCATGATCCAAGAGGAAAAATACACAGAGAGAAGGCTTAGAACGACTATCTGTGAAACAATACAGTTGCTTCATGAGCATAAATCTTGTTCATTTAACAAAGATTGTCTCACATTAGTCACACAGACACACACTTCTATTATAAATGATCAAAAGGCATTATAGTGAAAATGTAATAATACATAAAAATGGGGGCTTAGGCCAGACATGCAGACCACTGCTTTAAGAAGCTGAATGTAATGAAGAAACTGAACATGGCTTTTCTTTCTCTTTCCCCTACCCCATCACTTCCTGTTCTCTATTGCCTCATTTATTTCTATCATTTCCAGCACTTGGGGACATTTTTAGTTTAGTTTGATTACATTCAGTCCCACGGTGAGGCTGTGTAGAGATAAATATATCTGTAAGTCAGAAATATCGCAAACCCGAAGACGAATAATCGCATTGCCTTGTCATGTTTCTCTTAGTCAGAAAGTAGTGTCTGAAAACTAAAGAATTACTCTTAATATACAGTTCTCTTCTAGGGACAGTATTTGATGTTAGATCTTTGGTAACGTTGTTTTGTGGGAAGGGATCTTTATCTTATGTATCACCTTCAAAGGAGAATAAATAAGAATGAGCAAGTTGAAGAAAACTCAAGGTGAGAGGTTCCTTTTTCAATAACATTAAGTAGAAAATGACAGCATATAGATACCAGTGTGTCTTCTTGTGGGTTTTGAAAAATTTAGAGTATTACAACAGGCATTTAATTGCCAAAATATATACAACTTTGATGCTCAACAATGATTATGTTTATAATATTTACTAGAACCTTCAAGTGCCCTCTCAGATTGATCTTCTGCATTTATTCATCTTTTCTCACTTCCTCCAACCTCTGACAGTCATTGGAAGAGGTGTCTATCCTTGTGATCAAGGTCATTACCTCCCATGGCCTTAGGACTCCTCCATGACCTTTGCTCTATGGATAATTTCCTCTCTGTTCTACAGACTCATTCTCTCTCTCATGGCTTGTGCTCAGCCTGTTAAAAAAAAGATTAAATCTCCGTGGGTCCTAATATTAGAACAAAAAACTTCCTTGACTTTGCATCTCTGTGTGCCTACTATCTAACCATCCCTGTGTTAGCAATCATTTCCTAGCAGTCAAATTCAACAGACAATTTTCAGTTCATATTTTACTTATGACAATAGTAGTTATAATAACACCCCCCCAAAATTTTAGAACCTTGGCAGAATAATTTATTTCTTGCTCACATCATAGTCTGACATGGGTGTTTTTTAGGTGAGGATGGCTTTCCTCTGTGTGATGACTCAGGGACCCTCTCTCTTTCCTTATTGTTGCTCTGTCATGAGTTAGGATCTTGTAGTCCTCTGCTTCCAGCTCTTAGAAATGGAATAAGAGGACAGAGGTGGCATACCTCTGTTTCAATTGCCTTGGTACTCACATTCTATTGATTGAAACTAGTAAAATGGCACCACCAAAATACACATGAGGCTGGGGAATGTATTTCTTGCTGGGTCAGTGGCAACTTTTTACTAAAGAAGGAGAAGCATAAATTTTCAATGAAGAAGTGGCTGTTGGCCGCTATCTATTCTTGAAACTGTCTACCCTTTTACATCATTTTACAGAACTCTTTCCTGTCTCTCCTTTTACCTTTCTGACAATGCAGCATCTTCTTTCTATTCCTTCCTCTCACACTTCACTGCGTGTCAGAACTCTCTATGATTTCCATCCTATTCTGCCCTCTCCACACAAGCTTTTATAGATTCAACTAAAATCTGCATACTGATTGCTCACAAATTTCTATCTCCAGCCAACTTCTCCCTGGAACTTCAAACTATGTATTAAATATTTTTTTTGGACACATCTGCTGGAAAACCAATAGTCTCCTTGAATTTGCTGTGTCTGAAACTAAACTCTTTATCTTATCTCACTCTCATCTTCAAACGGAATCCTGCTTCTTCATTAACTAGTTAATAACGTTACCATATATTTAGTCAACCAATATAGAAATCTGGGAGTCATCCTAAAATACTGTTTGTTTTTCACAATTCTCTCCCTTCCTATGCCCCACTTCCCATTAAAAATCAACCTCTAAATAGCATTCTTTTGAAGTATTTTACAAACTATTTCATCCACTGTTTCAAGAACCTTATTTTATCTTAATAAAATGGTTATTTATTATATTCCTCTTTATGATACAAAAGCAGATGCATATACTGTGATGGTAAATTTTAGGGGTCAACTTGACTGGATCATGGGATTCCCAGATAGCTGGTAAAGCACTATTTCTGGGTGTGTCTGTAAGGGTATTTCTGGAAGAGATCAGCACTGATTCAGTAGACTGAGTAAGGAAGATCTGCCCTCACCCAGTGAGGGTAGGCACCATCCCATTGCCTAAGGCCCAGATAGGACTAAAGGAGGAAAGGCAAATTCTTTCTCTTTGTTCCTCTCTCTCTCAAGCTCTCTCTCCTGGAGCTGGGACACCCCTCTTCTCCTGCCCTTTGACACCAGAACTCCAGGTTCTTTGGCTTTTGAACTTTACTTGCACCAGCACCCCACCCAGCCCCTCGGCCCTTCAGCCTCAGACCGAGAATTACACCATTGGCTTCCCTAATTCTGAGACTTTCGGACATGGACTGAGCCACACTAATGTCTTCCCTGGTTCTTCAGCTTGCAGATAGCTTGTCATGAGTCTCTCATAATTCTCCTAATAAACCCCTTTCATAGATGTATGTGTACATGTATATCTATATCTCGATTTATATCTGTAATTGTATCTCTATATTGTATCTCTATATATCTCCTATTGGTTCTATCTTTCGGGAGAACCCTAATACATAGACAATATCGTTTAAAAGCATTTTAAAAGACAACAAATTGGCTAGTGTTTGAAAATTTGAAAAATAAAGATTAGTTAAATGAGAAATTAACTAATTAACTAATGTTAAATAAGAAATTGGCTCATAAGATTATCGAGGCTGAGAAATCCCATCATCTGCAGCCAGTGAGCTGGAGACCCAGGAGACTCAATGATAGAGTTCCAGTCCCACTCTAAAGGCCTGAGAACCAGGGCAGCTGATGGTATAAATTTCAGTCCAACTCTGAGTCTGAAAGGTAGGAGAACAATATGCCAGCCTAAAGACAATAATGCAGAGATAAGTGAAATCTCCCTTACCCAAATTTTTGTTTGATTTAGGCCTCCAGTGGATTGGCTGAAGCCTGCCATCCAATTTTCCCCATGGGAAAGGTAATCTGCTTCTTTTAGTCTGCTGGTTCAGATGTTAATCATATTTAGAAACACCCTCACAGACACATCCAGAATAATGTTCAATCAAATATCTAGGCACCCCATGGCCCAGTCAATTTGACACATAAAATTATTACACTAATATATTGTGAACATTTTCCATATTATTAAGTATTTATCAAAGCCATGATTTTGTTCCTTGTATAATCTTAAATTTTATACATATATTATTAATCATTTAAAAATCCCCCATTGCTTGATATGAAATTGTTATAAATTTTTACCAACAGAAAAATGTAACAAACATCTTTGTGTTCATATCTTATATCTTTGCTTCCATATCTATCTATAGTGATATGTTGTGGAATTGTCTGTCTGCTCCTTTTTGCTTCCTTTCAGAAACTCCCCCTCCCCCACTTAGTGTGTCTCTGATGGGGCAATTTAGCCTAATGCACCACCCCCACCCAACCAACACCACCACTGGAGTGGTAACCAGATCAAGTTAGACAGTCAGAATAACCCATTCTCATCTCTCAGGGATGGTTCAATGATGGGCATGGGTACCACACCCAGTGACATGGAGTGCTCCCTGAGACTTTGTCGATGGAACCGTCATGGAAGACGGATTTATTACGTTGGGATTGCTGAACTGTGAGGATGTGATGTACATCCTTAGCCTTGAAGATAAAATGTTTCCATGGAATGAGGTGAACGTACAGAGAAAGGAAAAGTTAAGAGATGCAGAGAAATATAGACTTCCCTGTAACGTTATTGATCCCTTATTCATTGTTGCCTATAGAAAATTTATTCTTGGAATTCTCAATTACTTAGACTAATAAGTCCCATTTGTGTGTAGATTATTGTGAATTGTATATCTCTCATTTTCAATTGAAGGGGACAGGTTTTTAGAAATTAGATTACTTAGACATAGATAATGAACACTGATTAAATAATTTTATCAGATTACTTTTTAAAAACATTGTATTAATTTATATTTTTAATCAGCAGTTTATTAAAAGTAATAATAAAACAAAAATAGAAAAATAATAGAAATGATAACATAGCATTAGGAGGAAATATTTAATTAAGTACTATTATATACCAGGCACTAAACCCAGGGTTATCTTTGCCAGGGAGTAAATCATACATATGTTTGCTTTCCATTCATATATATACTCATTGTTTACTAAGGGCACATTGAAATAGACATTAATAAAACGGGCCAAGAGTCTTAAATATAGAGAATAAATCATATATGCTGCAATTTATTGTGTATGCCTTTGTTTTTCTTTTAAACTTTTAAAATAAAAATAGCTGGCTTAGCCATTGTATGCTAAAGAAAATAAATGTACAACAAATAAAACCCAATGTTTTTGGAAAGGTAATGCTATTTGTCATAACATGTAAATCTCTGTGACCTATTACTACAGAGACTACACTTATTATTCAAGCTGGAGCAATTGTAAGAATGAAAGGGAGAGCTCTTAATAAATACACTGGGATAAGCAGTGTAAACTGAAACTGTTCTGTGCATAGTGGGACATATAGTCACTTGATTTCATACAATGTCTATTTTTTACTTAAATAAAGACATGCTGTTGCATTGGCAGACATTTTGAACTCTGACCCACACAATTATTTGTGGGTCCAGAGACTTTCATCTCTGACATGTGGCTTCTAAGGGTACACTGGGTTTTGCCTTTGGGGAGGATTTATGGATCATGCCTGGAAATGAGGCAATCATATTCACCCACATTCTGTTGGCAAGAAATCAGTCATTTGGCCACATCTAAATACAATGGTGGCTTCAAATTGTAGTCCATTTAAATAGCCAGGAGGAAAGGGAAAATGGTTCAGTAATAGCCAGCCAGTATTTTTCCATAGCTTAAAAATAGAAAATTTTAAATAATCTTTGTATGTTTACAGAAACATGCAAAAAATTGGATCCAGAAGAAATACAACTGTAGGTTGATATTATATTTTATCTCTCGAACATTGCTATTCTGATATTTCTAAACTAGCCCTGAAAGAGATTCAGTTAAAATATGTAAGACAGAATTTATCTCCTATTAGATTACACTGTTCAAAAATTCTGTCACATCTAATTTTTATCAGAACCCATGTGCCTAATCCCATTTTATTTCAACAACTCTATATAATATAAAGAGCACAAGATTCCTAGTCAGAAAGACCTCAGTCACAATCCTGATTGCTGTTTATTTGATGAAGGATCTTGAAGAAGCTACTTAACCTTTTTAAGCCTCAGTTTCCTGTCCTGTAAAATGGAAGCAAATGCCTATCTCAGAAGGTTGTGAGAATTAATTAAGATGAGTACTTAACATGCCAAGTTTAATGCTTTCCCCATAACAGATGGTCAATAAGACTGATCCCTTTCTCCTAGAGTAGTTAACTTCTGTGGGATTAAATAATTGCTACTCCAACAACTGTCCCCTCTCTCTAATTAATAAAGCATTCAACTGGAAAGACTTCATTTTAATCTGAAGTGCAGACATTTTGTAGTTGCTAAAGTGTTTACAAAAGTTACTCTTCTTCAAATACAATTTAAAAATAATTTAGTGTAACAAATCCTATTCTCCCCACCTCTCTAATTTTGTATGATGACTTCACACATTGAGTTCATTGTTCAAAAGATTTCTGAGATGTTATGAGTGCAGAAAGGCACAAACCAATTTTCATGCCATAATAAATTTAATTTTTTATCAAAGGAATGGAGAGATTTTTTTTTTTTTTTTTCAGAAATAACGGTGCCTTAAAAGATAGTTGAGACTAGGGAAGAATGATGTGGAAATAGAAGGTGAGCTCTCAGAACCTGACAGTACACCAGCGCAAGTTCGTGCTCTAACAATTGGCGTGTGTCACAAACTAGGTGATTCTTCAGGAGACTAAAGGTTGAATATAATCCTAGCAATCTTCGTGTCTAAGTAGGCTCTTCAGCAATATCTTTGTTTTGGGGCTTTGGTAACACATAGAGTCTACTTGAGTTTTAAGGCTGCTTTTTACCAATGTCTCAAAAGAATTTGAAAGCCTAACAGAATTTAATACTAGCTACTAAAATCAGAGCAGGCTGTCACAGAGAGTTTAAAATTTTTTTTCTGAAAAGTAAGAACATTTTGGTTTTCTGAGACCTTGAGTGGAATGACCTGAGTGCATATCTAAGTGACTTTCAAAAATGTAGTTATTACCAAGCCTTGCCTATAAAAATCCACTTAAAAAGAAAGAGAGAGAGAGAGACAGGGTGCTCTGTCGTCCAGGCTGGAGTGCAGTGGCACAATCCTAGCTCACTGCAACCTCGACCTCCTAGGTTCAAGCAATCCTTCCACCTCAGCCTCCTAGTAGCTAGGACTACAGGTGGAGCCCACCATGCCCCTCTAATTTTTATTTATTTTTTTTAATAGAGATTGGGGTTTTGCTGTGTCACCCAGGCTGGTCTCGAACTGCTGACCTCAAAGCAATCCTCCTACCTCAGCCTCTTAAAGTTCTGGGATTACAGGTGTAAGCTACCATGCCTGGCCAAGAGCCCACTGTTATAAGTCTACAAGTGGTGTTAAATTATTTCTCTGCATAAAGGATTTATAACAAAATTAAAGGACTAACTTCATTCCAGGTTATGTTTGGTTGCTTAATAACATTTGGGAAGGGAAGAATCCACTTGTAGCTAAGAAAATACAGGTAAACCCATGAAGAATTCTGCCTCTATTTTCATATTTAACCACCTGCCTTATCATCCCAGATATTCCCTGTTTGGCCACGACCCTCATTGTGTCCCTTTTCCTGATGGCCTTAATTCCCATGAGTTTCTAACTGCCACATACTAGTCTTTATTGCACCTCATTTTTTCAGGGTTCCAGATGCAGACTATATTTTCTGATAAATGAATCTTGGCCAAGTGTTAATGAGCAAGGACTAGAAAGATGATTTTTGGTAATATATTCATTTTAGCTGAGACGTTTAGACAAATTTACTCTGCACTTGTTTTCTAAAACATAAATGGCTGGCATTTTAGGCTTGCATAGAGCTGATTTTAATGACACTTAAATATAGGGTGGACCATCGTTATCAGCAACCCTGTGTTCCTTTGTGGCAAGAAAAAAGGTTGGACCAAATTGATTAGTCTGGTGGCTCTTTATTAATATTTTGAAGGAATGTCTGTAAAATAAATTGTGGTGCGGTGCCATGTGCCTCCAGGGACCTCTAACACATTTTTAGTGCTTGTTAAATTCAAAGTGATGCTGAAATTATAGCAAAGTAATAACAAACTGACCAAAGTTTAATAGCAAACTTTCATTTTCTGCATCAAGCATTTGCTGAATACAGACCTAGAAATTTAAATCTGGCCTTCTCCGGAGATGAGCAGTTCTCATGAACAGACCAAGAAATTCGCCTGTAGGCCTTCAAAGAGTTCACTTGAAGGTCTCCTTTCACTAGGGCAGATGATTTAGCAGGAAGGATGGGCTGCAGAAATGTTGTCTTTTCCAATTTCACACTTTTCTTTCCTCAGTCTTAGCTTATAAAGATCTAATTTTCCCTCCTTTTTGCATCATTTTTCATATCTTGACACAGGGCATCTCTCATATTTCTGCTCAGATCAAGGGCAGAGCTAGGCAGATCAAGGTATAATAAGTTTTAGCTAAATGTTTATGCCAGTTTTGAAAATTTACAGCTTGCATGGAACACTTGCAGAGGTCATAGAAAAAAATTATTTTTTTCTTACTTAAATTACTTTAATTTAGTCTAACAAATCAAAAGTCAAATGCAATGCAACCTATTCTATGGTTCATAGATTTCTAAAATAATATTGAAATTGATCCCAGAGGACTAGAAGGTATTGCATTGTTTTGAAGATGAGCGATAAAAATAATTGTTCATTCTTACCAAGCAAAATATTATTTATGGGAAGAACAATGAGAAACCGGGAGATTCCACAGCCAGATGGGTGGCCTTGTGTAGAAAAAACACATCTGATTAAATTTTGTACTTTGGTGTCAGGTAGACACAGCAAATATTGATAACTCATTCCATAATGGATTCCTTGTCTTTTTAGGATTCATATGGTCAGCCTTCTTATGAAAATTTAAAAACAAAGTTTGTTTTTTTAATAGTTATAGTCTGTTAAATTTTCATAAGAAAATTTATATTATATCATATGATATATTCAAATGGTAGAATCATAAAAGCTTTAAAGTTCATGTTTTCAGATATCTCCACAGGTTTGTGCCATTAGTATATCAGACTCACAAGTATATCATTACATCAGACTCACAATTATCAAAGCCTCAACAGTATTCAAATGTGATATTTACAAAATTTGATCACTGCAATTATACTGATATAATCTATACAGATGATATACACTAAGTTAACTGTTTAAGAGTGGTTTACTCTAGGTCCCCCAGGTAGTCCAAAATCTAGAAGGTTTTTGACACTATGGATTTGAATGATAATATTATTGTCATCCCCCTAAAACCAACACTAGTTTTTTGGTTGATTCTGGTACTCACGTGTGTGTGTGTGTGTGTGTGTGTGTTTTAAGCATTGGCCAAAGGTAGCAGGTGGCATAGATGGCTGACAAGATCTTTTGCTTTGCCAAAGTAGACCAGAGATTTTTAAAACAACTGATTTCAGATATTCTATAATTTCTACTGTCCGGGGGAGGCACTGAAGGTTTTTTATCATCTGTTGAGATGAGTTGATTATAAAACAGTTTTCCTGGTGTTCCTCTTTAACCAAAATCTTCTCCTTCTCTTTGGCCCTTGTTTTCTGAGATAAATCACTCTCTTCTTCCCAAAGCAAAATGAAAGGGGCAATTATACCCTTGGTGATTCTTAATTGTCTCAATTAACAAAGTCAGTTTCTGGAGTCTGAGCTGAAAATGAAGCTTACAATTCACCCTCAATACATGAAATTTGGTAAGTTAATTTGAATCTTTTTTTGTTTGGTCAAGAAAATTCAACTATTTGAATATTGAACTGCAGTCACTATACTGGTACTCTCAATTTAGCTTAGAATAAAAATGCGTTCTCTCCCTATATCCTCAGTTAAATTAAAGGGAAGAAAACAAAACAAACAAACAAAAAACAATATTATCACTCAAATAGACTTTATTTATTTTTTACAGCCCAGAGGCCTTTATTCTTCTTACAGCGATTCTGCTGTGAATTCGTACGGAATGGGCTCCAGCAGCTCAGGCTACTTTCCACTGGGTCTCACAAAGTGTGCTTCTCGAAGCAGGCTGGGGCTTCCCTTGAACCCAGGTACCTTTCTCTTTGTCTTCCTTCTTTTTTTTTTTTTTTTTTCTTGAGACAGAGTCTTGCTTTCTCATCCAGGCTGGAGTGCAGTGGCACGACCTAGGCTCACTGCAACCTCCGCCTCCTGGGTTTAAGTGATTCTCCTGTCTCAGCCTCCCAAGTAGCTGGGAATACAGGTGCCCACCACCGCACCCAACTAATTTTTGTATTTTTAGTAGAGATGGGGTTTCACCAAGTTGGCCAGGCTGGTCTCAAACTCCTGAGCTCAAGTGATTCGTCTGCTTTGGTCTCTCAAAGTGCTGGGATTACAGGCATGAGCCACCATGCCTGGCCTGGCTTCCTTCTTTTTCTGATTATTTTCTTTCACATGTTTCAGGATGCTATCTTGGCTCTTCAAGTGCTTAAAATGCTGAACATGTATATTAATTCGCTTGGCAAGAACCTTGCCCTTACCTTGTTTGCTGACAACATTGCCAGCAGCATGCTGGGGAACATTGTAGACTCTTCCAGTTTTGGATGGCAACTCTTGCAGGGCATTCCGTTTTGAACAATATCTATTCCCTTGATGTCTACAATATCACCTTTCTTGTAGATTCCCACTTATGTACCTAAAGGAGCAACTCCATGTTTTCCAAAAGGCCTGAAAAACATATAGCAGGTACCTTGTGTTTTTCTCTTTATGTTTGTCATTTTGGTGAATTACTGGAAAATGGAGGTTCAGGCCAAAAGGCTTAACCAGATATTGTTTTAAGCAGTAAGTTTTTACTTTTTCCGAATATGTTCCCCTTACATCAAATAAGCATTTTCTCCCTGTGTTAATGCTTATTAATTTGCCAGTGACCGTCAATATATCAAATAACTTTACCAAATACTGTTGTAAAAAGCACTGTACTGGCCCAATAGACAAATTAAAACCTAGGTTACGTAATCTAGATGTGCCCCTTGCTTACATGTGGGAGAATTGGAAAGATTCATTTATTAGTGACTGTAATATACAGAGGAATTTAAGTTAAAAGATGTTTTGGAAAAATTCAAATATTGTTACTAAGGGGAAGTAAAAATAAATATATATGTTTCACATCCCTCGGTCAGAAGAAAGCAAATGCAGTATCTATCAATCCAAATCAAAAAAATAAACAGCAAGAAAATACAAATACTTTATACTCTTTATACTCTATTAAAAGGCAAAGACTCGGCCGGGTGTGTTGGCTCATGCCTGTAATCCCAGCACTTTGGGAGGCCGAGGTCAGGAGATTGAGACCATCCTGGCTAACACGGTGACACCCCGTCTCTACTAAAAATACAAAAAAATTAGCCGGGCTTGGTGGTGGGCGCCTGTAGTCCCAGCTACTTGGAAGGCTGAGGCAGGAGAATGGCTTGAACCCGGGCTGCAGAGCTTGCAGTGAGCCAAGATCATGCCACTGCACTCCAGCCTGGGTGACAGAGCGAGACTCCATCTCAAAAAAAAAAAAAAAAAAAAAAAAAGGCAAAGACTCTTAGATTTAAAATCTGACTATATACTGTTTTACAAGAGACACACCTAGAACCAAATGATACAGAAAAGTTTAATATAAAAGGGCAAGCAAGCATTTTTTTAACATAAAGGCAAATAGAAAAGACAAGCATACAATCTTTGTTTCAGACATTAAATAAGACAAAAGGTGCTTTTTTTACATTTTAAAGGGAACAATTCTCATTGCATTTCCAGCAGTCGTGATCCTTTATGAAAAATAATACGGCATTAAAATACTTGAAACAAAAAGCTTTAGAAATACAAGGGAAAAGAGAAATTGAGTTGTTGTGGGTAAATTAAGGAAACTTTCCAGGCTTATTTAGAAAGAGGTATATGTATTATTTTCTTAGGCATTTTTGATGGAACATGACCCATCTAGTTCTTGGCTGGGCCTAGAATGAGCAGGCTCAGATATTTTTCTTAGTTTAGGTTATATTCTGCCCTAATAACAATGTTTATTAACAACTGTTGTAGAGATATCAACATCTGTAGAATGAAATTCATTATTTTTCCCTCTGAAATCAGTTCTGTCTTGGATGCTAAAACCCATTAAATTGTAACACAATTCACTCAGGCTGCTAAACTAAACATGTCATCCCTGGCTCTCTTCATCTCTAAAATGTATCTATTGAATCTGACTCCTCCTCTCCCCCTCACTATCACGGTCTTATTTTAGGCTTTCTTTGATCTAACCAATGTTGTCCCTGGCACTGGACTCATACAAACCTGATCACACCATTTTCTTTAGAAACTTCTGTTAGTTTCCTTTGCCCAGACTATAGGATCAAAATCTAACTCCTTACATAGTCAAAATGCCCTTAACAATCTGCCCTTCTCCCCACATCTTTCCAGATTTATCTTTCTCCATTCTTCCTCTAATCTTCCATTCACTTAAAATGTATTGCTATGCTAAGTTTTAAATAATTAACCAAAACACCAGACCCATTAATGACTGTTCTTTCACCTACATTCTCTCCTCTTAGAATAACTTTTTCTGATTCCTTTTTTTACTCATTTTTTAAATATTTAAGTTGCATATAATTTACTCAGCATATATGTATGTGTGTGTATATATATGATATATAGTCATGTTCACTTAATGATGGGGTGATGTTCTGAGAAATGTGTCACTAGACAATTTTGTCATTGTGCAAACATAGTTTACTTACACAAACCTAGATGGTATAGCCTACTACACAACTAGGCTATATGGTATAGCCTATTGCTTCTAGGCTGCAAACTGGTACAGCATGTTACTGTAGTAAATTCTGTAGGTGATTGTAGCACAATAGTAGTTGTATATTTATTTATGTTTTGTTGTTTATAAGGTTTTGTTAAAATTAGCTTTAGCATTAATAATACACCATACAAAGGTAAAATATGGTTTTCTCTTCTGAACAAAATGTGTAATATTAAAAGACAAAAGATTTTGTTTACTTGAGTAAACTGCAGGGAGAAAATGGAACAGGAGAGACAGATTTAGTTGGCCTCATGCTGTCTTTATTCGGTCTTACTGTTTGGGAAGCAGAATCTCCTCTCTATTAAATGGTAAATGTTTTTATCACTGTAGCTAAATTAAGGACTATTCTATAGTGACTCATGATCCTGTTTTGTCATATCAAGTGTCTTAAAACTTTGATATTTGACTGACTTTCCAATATTAAAATTAATAGTTCTAGCTTCAAACTTTTTGACCTTAAACTAACTTTTTTGGAGATTAGGTTCCCTGAAGTCCAAGAGAGATATAGTAGGCTTATTAGACTTATTTGTTATGTTAGTACACAGTAAGCCTTGTCAAATGTAAGGTGGTATTTAGCTTTCTTTGGGTTATATTTATATAGACATGTTGTTCATATATGTTCTAGTATTGTATGACATTCCTGAAAATCTGATATGTCTTGATATATGTTTTCAGTAATAATTATGATTATGTTAAATTGTTGTATGCCACAGAAATAAGCAAATTTCCTTGTCAATGGTGTCTTTGACTATGGCTGTCCTAAAACTTTTGTCATCCACAATTGTTGTTTTGCTTTGATCCTTCTCAAAAAGTGACTTATAATCGGCTACAGTCCAGGGCTTGCTTTGGAGGAATTTATGAAAATAAAGTCTCTTCTTTTCTTCTTTTTTGTAAAAACAGTAAAAGAAAGAAAGAAAGGAAAGAAAGAAAGAAAGAAAGAAAGAAAGAAAAAATATCATTTTCTTTTGTGTGTGTGTTCATTTGTATATCTTTCTTTTTTAATTTATTTTTTATTTCAATAGGTTTTATGGGAACAGGTGGTGTTTGGCTACATGAATAAGTTCTTTAGTGGTGATTTCTGAGATTTTGGTGCATCATCACTCAAGCAGTGTACACTGTACCCAATGTGGAGTCTTTTATCCCTCATCCCCTCCCACCCTTTTTCCCAAGTCCCCAAAGTCCACTGTATCATTCTTATGCCTTTCAGTCCTCATAGCTCAGCTCTCAATTATGAGAGCATACAATGTTTGGTTTTCCATTCCTGAGTTACTTCACTTAAAATAATAGTCTCCAATTCCATGCAGATTGCTGCAAATGCCATTATTTTGTTCCTTTTTATGGCTGAGTAGTGTTCCATGTTGTATATGTACCACATTTTCTTTATCCACTCATTGATTGATGGGCATTTGGGCTGATTCTATATTTTTGCAAATTGTGCTGCTATAAACATGCGTGTGCAAGTATCTTTTTCATATAATCACCTCTTTTCCTCTGGGTAGATACCAGGAGTGGGATTGCTGGATCAAATGGCAGTTCTACTTTTAGTTCTTTAAGGAATCTCCACACTGTTTTCCACAGTGGTTTTACTAGTTTACATTCCCACCAACAGTGTAAAAGTGTTCTCCTTCACCACAGCCAGGCCAACATCTATTATTTTATTTTTTTATTTTTTTATTATGGCCATTCTTGCAGGAGTGAGGTGGTATCACATTGTGGTTTTGATTTGCATTTCCCTGATAATTAGTGATGCTGAGCATTTTTTCATATGCTTGTTGACCATTTGTGTATCTTCTTTTGATAATGGCCTATTCATGTCCTTAGTCCACTTTTTGATGGGAGTATTATTATTATTATTATTATTTTGCAGATTTATTTGAGTTCTTTGTAGATACTGGACATTAGTCCTTTGTCAGACGTGTGGAATGTGAAGATTTTCTCCCACTGTGTGGGTTGTCTGTTAACTCTGCTGATTATTTCTTTTGCTGTGCAGAAACTTTTTAGTTTAATTAAATTCCATCTATTTATCTTTGTTTTTGTTGCATTTGCTTTTGGGTTCTTGGTCATGAAATCTTTGCCAAAGCAGATGTATAGGAGGGTTTTTTTCTGATGTTATCTTCTAGAATTTTTATGGTTTCATGTCTTAGATTTAAGTCTTTGATCCAACTTGGGTTAATTTTTGTATAAGGTGAGAGATGAGGATCCAATTTACTCTTTTACACGTGGTTTGCCAATTATCCCAGCACCATTTGTTGAATAGGGTGTCCTTTCCCCACTTTATGTTTTGTTTGCTTTGTTGAAGATCAGTTGTCTGTATTTGACTTATTTCTGGGTTCTCTATTCTGTTCTATTGGTCTATGTGCCTATTTTTATACCAGTACCATGCTGTTTCGGTGACTATGGCCTTATAATATAGTTTGAAGTTGGGTAATGTGATGCCTCCAGATTTGTTCTTTATGTTTAGTCTTATTTTGGATATGTGGGCTCTTTTTTCGTTCCATATGAATTTTAGAAGTTTTTTTTCAAGTTCTGTGAAGAATGATGGTGGTATTTTGATGGGAATTGCATTGAATTTGTAGATTGCTTTTGGCAGTATGGTCATTTTCACAATATTCATTCTACCCATCCGTAAGAATGAGATGTGTTTCTATTTGTTTGTGTCGTCTATAATTTCTTTCAGTAGTGTTTTGTAGCTTTCCTTGTAGAGGTCTTTAATGTCCTTGGTGAGGTATATTCCTAAGTATTTTGTTTTATTTTTCAGCTGTTGTGAAAGGGGTTGAGTTTTTTATTTGATCTCTCAGCTTGGTCACTGTCGGTGTATAGCAGAGCTACTGATTTGTGTACATTAATTTTGTATCCTGAAACTTTGCTGAATTCATTTATCAGTTCTAGGAGATTTTTGTAGGAGTCTCTAGAGTTTTATAAATATATAATTGTATCATCAGCAAACAGTGACAGTTTGGCTTCCTCTTTACCAATTTGGATGCCCTTTATTTCTTTCTCTTGTCTAATTGCTCTGGCTCGGACTTCCAGTGTTAGGTTGAATAAAAGTGGTGAATGTGGCCATCCTTGTCTTGTTCCAGTTCTCAGGGGGAATGCTCTCAACTTTTCTGTGTTCAGAATGATGTTGGCTGTAGGTCTGTCCTAGATGGCTTTTATTACACTGAGGTATATCCCTTGTATGCCCATTTTACTGAGGGTTTTAATCATAAAACAATGCTGAATTTTGTCAAATGCATTTTCTGCATCTATTGAGATGATCATGTGATTTTTGCTTTTAATTCTGTTTATGTGGTGTATCACATTTATTGACTTGTGAATATTAAACCATCTCTGCATCCCTGGTATGAAACACACTTGATCTTGGTGGATTATCTTTTTGATATGCTGTTGGATTCAGTTACCTAGTATTTTGTTGAGGATTTTTGCATCTAGGTTTATTAGGGATATTGGTCTATAATTTTCTTCTTTTGTTATGTCCTTCCCTGGTTGTGGTATTAGGGTGATACTGGCTTCATAGAATGATTTAGGGAGCGCTCTCTCTTTCTCTGTCTTGTGAAATAGTGTCAATAGGATTAGTACCAATTTTTCTTTGAATGTCTAATAGAATTCACCTGTGAATCTGTCTGGTCTTGGACTTTTTTTTTGGTTGGCAATTTTTTATTATCACTTCAATCTCACTGCTTGTTATTGGTTGATTCAGAGTTTCTATTTCTTCCTGGTTTAATTTAGAAGGGTTGTATAGTTCCAGGAATGTATACATCTCTTCTAGGCTTTCTAGTTTATGTGCATAAAACTGTTCATAGTAGCCTTGAATGATCTTTTGTATTTCTGTGGTATCAGTTGTAATGTCTCCTGTATTAGTCTGTTTTCATGCTGCTGATAAAAACATACCTGAGACTGGGTAATTTATAAAAGAAAGAGGTTTATTGGGCTTACAGTTCCACATGGCTGGGAGGCCTCACAATCATGGCAGAAGGCAAGGAGGATCAAGTCATATCTTACATGGATGGCAGGAGGTCAAAAGAGAGCTTGTGCTGGGCAACTTCCTCTTTAAAACCATCAGATCTTGGGAGACGCATTCACTATCATGAGAATAACACGGGAAAGACCCGACCCCATAATTCACTCATCTCCCACCAGGTCCCTCCCACAACATGTGGGAATTATGGGAGCTACAAGATGAGATTTCAGTGGGGACACAGAGTCAAGCCATATCATTCTGCCCCTGGACGCTTTCAAATCTCATATCTTCACATTTCAAAACCAATCATGCCTTGCAACAGTCCGCCAAAATCTCAACTCATTTCAGCATTAACTCAAAAGTCCACAGTCCAAAGTCTTATCCAAGATAAGGCAAGTTCTTTCTGTCTATGAGCCTGGAAAATCAAAAGCAAGTTAGTTACTTGCTAGATACAATGGGTGTACAGGGATTGGGTAGATACAGCCATTACAAATGGGAGAAATTGGCCAAAACAAAGGGGCTACAGGCTCCATGCAAGTTTGAAATCCAGCAGGGGCAGTCAAATCTTAAAGTTCCAAAATGACCTCCTTTGACTCCGTGTCTCACATCCACGTCACGCTGATACAAGACGTAGCTGGCTTTGCAGAGTATAGCCTCCTTCCTGGCTGCCTTCAAGGGCTGGTGTTGAGTGTCTGCAGCTTTTCCAGGTGCACAGTACAAACTGTCAGAGGATCTACCATTCTGGGATCTGGAGGACAGTGGCCCTCTTCTCACAGCTCCACTAGGCAGTGTCCCAGTAGGGAATCTGTGTGGGGGCTCTGACCCCACATTTTCTTTCTGCACTGCCCTAGCAAATGTTCTGCATGAGGACCCTGCCCCTGCAGCAAACTTCTGCCTGGGCATCTGGGCATTTCCATATATCCTCTGAAATCTAGGCAGAGGTTTCCAAACCTCAATTCTTGACCTCTGTGCACTCACAGGCTCAACATCACGTGGAAGCTGCCAAGGCTTGAGGCTTGCACCCTCTGAAGCCACAGCCTGAGCTCTACATTGGTGCCTTTCAGCCATGGCTGGTGCAGTCACTAGGCTGCACACAGCACGGGGATCCTGGGCTCGGCACACAGAACCACTTTTTCCTCCTGGGATTCCAGGCTTGCAATGGGAGGAACTTCCACAAAAGTCTCTGACATGCCCTGGAGACATTTTCTTCATTGTCTTGGTGATTAACATTTGGCTCCTTGTTACTTATGGAAATTTCTGCAGTGGGCTTGAATTTCTCCTCAGAAAATGGGATTTTCTTTTCTATTGCATTGTCAGGCTGCAAATTTTCCAAACTTTTTTGCTGTTTTCCTTTTGAAACTGAATGCCTTTAACAACACCCAAGTCACCTCTTGAATGCTTTGCTGTTAGAAATTTCTTCCACCAGATACTCTAAATCATCTCTCTTAAGTTCAAAATTCCATAAATCTCTAGGGCAGGGGCAAAATGCCCCCAGTCTTTTTGCTAAGACATAACAAAAGTCACCTTTGCTCCAGTTCTCAACAAGTTCCTCATCTCTGTCTGATAACACCTCAGCCTGGACCTTATTGTCCATACTGCTATCAGCATTTTGGGCAAAGCGATTCAACAAGTCTCTAGGAAGTTCCATACATTCCTACATTTTCCTGTCTTTTTCTGAGCCCTCCAAATTGTTCCAACCTCTGCCTGTTACCCAGTTCCAAAGGCACTTCCACATTTTCAGGTAACTTTTCTGCAGCGCCCCACTCTGCTGGTACCAATTTACTGTATTAATCTGTTTTCACACTGCTGATAAAGACATACCGGAGACTGGGAAGAAAAAGAGGTTTAATTGGACTTACAGTTCCACATGGCTGGGGAGATCTCACAATCATGACAGAAGGTAAGGAGGAGCAAGTCACATCTTATGTGGATGGCAGGAGGCAAAAAGAGAGCTTCCATTTTTAAAACCATTGGATCTTGTGAGACTCATTCACTGTCATGAGAATAGCACAGGAAAGACCTGCCCCCATAATTCAGTTATCTCCCACCGGGTCCCTCCCACAACACATGGGAATTATGAGAGCTCCGAGATGAGGTTTGGTTGGGGAAACAGAGCCAAACCATATCATCTCTTGTTTCATTTCTAATGGAGCTTATTTGGATCTTCTCTTTTCTTGGTTAATCTCACTAATGGTATCAATTTTATTTATCTTTTCAGAGAACCAGCTTTTTGTTTCATTTATCTTCTATATATTTTTGTTTCAATTTCATTTAATTCTGCTCTGATCTTTGTTATTTCTTTTCTTCTGCTGGGTTTGGGTTTGGATTATAGTTTCTCCTGTTCCATGAGGTGTGACCTAAGATTGTCTATTTGTGCTCCTTCAGACTTTCTGATATAGGCATTTAATGTTATGAACTTTCCTCTTAGCACCACTTTTGCTGTATCCCACAGGTTTTGATAGGTTGTGTCACTATTTTTGTTCAGTTCAAAGAATTTTTAAGTTTCCATCTTGATTTCATTGTTAACCCAACAATCATTCAGGAGCAGGTTATTTAATTTCCATGTATTTGCATGGTTTGGGAGGTTCCTTTTGGAGTTGATTTCCACTTGTATTCCACTGTGGTCTGAGAGAGTACTTGATATAATTTCGATTTTCTTAAATTTACTAAGACTTATTTTGTGGCCTATCATATGGTCTATCTTGGAGAATGTTCCATGTGCTGATGAGTGGAATGTATATTCTGAAGTTGTTGGGTAGAATGTTCTGTAAATATCTGTTGAGTCCATTTGTTGTAGGGTATAGTTTAAGTCCATTGTTTGTTGACTTTCTGTCTTGATGATCTGTCTAGTGCTGTCAGTGGAGTACTAAATCCCCCACTATTATTGTGTTGCCATCTATCTCATTTTTTAGGTTTACTAGTAATTGTTTTATAAATTTGGGAGCTCCAGTGTTAGGTGCATATATATTTAGGACTGTGGTATTTTCCTGTTGGACTAATTTTTTTATCATTATATAATGTCCTTCATTGTGTTTTTTAACTGCCGTTGCTTTAAAGTTTGTTTTGCCTGATATAAGAATAGCTACTCCTGCTCACTTTTGATGTCCATTTTCATGGAATATATTTTTCCACTCCTTTATCTTAAGTTTATGTGAGTCCTTATGTGTTAGGTGAGTCTCCTGAAGACAGCAGAAAATTGATTGGTGAATTCTTACTCATACTGCCTTCCTGTATCTTTTAACTGGAGCATTTAAGCCATGTACATTCAAAGCTAGTATTGAGATGGGAGGTACTATTCTATTCATTGTGCTATTTGTTGCCTGAATACCTTGTGTTTTTTTTTTTCATTGTGTTATTGTTATATATGTCCTATGAGACTTATGCTTTAAATAAGTTATATTTTGGCATATTTCAAGGATTTGTTTTAAGACTTAGAGCTCCTTTTAGGAGTTCTTGTAGTGACAGCTTGGTAGTCGCAAATTCTCTCAGCATTTGTTTGTCTGGAAAAGACTGTATCTTTCCTTCATTTATGAAGCTTAGTTTCACTGGATACAAAATTCTTGGCTGACAGTTGTTTTGTTTAAGTAGGCTAAAAATAAGACCTCAATCCCTTCTAGCTTGTAGGGTTTCTGCTGAGAAATCTGCCATTATTTTGATAGATTTTACTTTATAGGTTACCTGATGCTTTTGCCTCACAGCTATTAAGATTCTTTTCTTTGTCTTGACTTTAAATAACCTGATGACTATATGCTTAGGTGATGACTTTTTGTGATGAATTTCCCAGGTGTCCTTTGAGCTTCTTGTATTTGGATGACTAGATTTCTAGCAAGGCCAGGGAATTTTCCCCTGATTATTCCCTCAAATATCTTTTCCAGACTTTTAGATTTCTCTTCTTCCTTGGGAACACCAATTATTCTTAGGTTTGGATGCTTAACATATTCTCAAACTTCTTGGAGTCTTTGTCCATTTTTTCTTATTCTTTGTTCTTTGTCTTTGACAGATTGGGTTAATTCAAAAGCCGTGTCTTCGAGCTCTGAAATTCTTTCTTCTGCTTGTTTGAGTGCATTGCTGAGACTTTCCAATGCATTTTGCATTTCTGTAAGTGTGTCCTTGATTCCAGAAGTTGTAATTGGTTTTTATTTATACTATCTGTTTCACTGAAGATTTTTCCTTTCACATCCTGTATTATGTTTTTGATTTCTTCAAGTTGGAGTTCATCTTTCTCTGGTGCCTCCTTAATTAGCTTAATAATTGACCTTTGGACTCCTTTTTCTGGCAATTCAAAGATTTCATCTTGGTTTGGATCCATTGCTGGTGAGCTGGTGTGACCTTTTGGGAGTGTTAAAGAACCTTGTTTTGACATATTACCAGAATTGTTTTTCTGGCTTCTCATTTTGGTAGACTATGTCAGAGGGAATATCTGGGACTCAAGAGCTGCTGTTCAGATTCTCTTGTCCCATGGTGTGCTCCTTTGATGTGTTGCTCTTCTCCTTCTCCTAGGGATGGGGCTTCATGAGAGCTGAACTGCAGTGATTGTTTTTGCTCTTCTGGGTCTAGCCACCCAGCAGAGCTACTGGGCTCCAGGCTGGTACTGGGAAGTGTCTGCAGAGTCCTGTGATGTGATCTTTCTTCAGGTCTTTCAGCCATGGATACCAGCACCTGCTCCAGGGGAGGTAGCAGAGGCGCGAAGAGGACTCTGAGGTTTCTTGGTTGTATTTTTGTTTAGTGCACTGGTTTCTCGTTGGTTGGCCTCCAACCAGGGGGTGGTACTTTCAAGAGTGCATCATCTGTAGTTGCACAGGGAGGATCAGGTGGTAGGTGGGGCTATAGAGCACCCAAGAGATTATGTCCTTTGTTTTTGCAACCAGATGGGTGGGGAAAGACCACCAGATGGGGGTGTGTCTGAGCTCAGACTCTTCTCCGGCAGGGCGTGCTGTGGCTGCTGTGGGGGTTGGGGGTGTGGTTCTCAGGCCAATGGAGTTATGTTTCCAGGGGGATTATGGCTGCCTCTGCTGAGTCACACAGGTCGCCAGGGAAAGGGTGGAAATCCGGCAGCCAAGGATTCACCCCACTCCACACGGCCTGCAGTCCTAAAGGCCAGTTCTCACTCTGACCACCGTGCACCCCCAACAGCACTGAGTTTATTTCCATGCAGCCGGTGACCAGGGCTGAGAACTTGCCCCAGACCACCAGCCTCCCTGCTGAGAAAACCAGCCGACTCACAGCTTTTCAGAGTCTCAGGGAGCCTGTAGCAGTGATGCAGTTCCTTCAAAGGGTCTGTGGATTCTCTCAGCATTCCTGGTATGTTGCTGTGGTAGTTGGTGGAGCAGAAGTTCACAATGTGAGTCTCCACATGCTACTGTGTCTGTGCGAGTGGGAGCTGCAAGCTAGTCCTGCCTCCTATCCACCATCTTCTCTTCTAATTGTGTATTTAAACATAGGAAAGGTAATATGCTGCACTATGACATTATGACGACTACAATGTCACTAGGTGGTAGAAAATTTTCAGTTTCACTAATGATCTTAAGGGTATATACTGTCCATTGTTGACCCAATTGTATATCATAGTGGTCCTATGAAATTATAATGTTGTATTTTTACTGTACCTTTTTATTTTTTACTTTTCTTTTTTACTATACCTCTTTTTTGGCAAAATGTTCAAATCTTTTGTGTGATTTTTATTAGATTGTTCTGTATATTTGTGGAAAAGGTATGTTTTATAGATACAGTTGTTGCTTTAAAAAAACTTTTTGCAAGTGTTTATCTTTGAAATGTTCAGACAACTTTAAAAAATAATTATGGAAATGTTTGCATTTACAGCTAGCATTGTCTATTTGTTTTCTATTTGCCTCATCCATTCTGTGTTACTTTATTTCCTGTTTACCCATTTTGTTTCAGTTGCATACTTTTTAGTATCTATTTTATTTCTGCTATTGACTTAATCATAATTATTTGTATTATTATTTGTGTAGTTGCTTAATTATTAACAAAATGTATCCTTAGCTTATCACAGCCTATCTTTAAATAATAATATATTGCTGTACATGTAATATAAGAACTTCTTAAGAATACCTTTTCATTTCTTCCCTACCATACCCTTTGGACTATTATTTTCATACACTTTATTTCTACACATATTACAAACCACACACTAACTTACTATTTTTAAAACAATAAATTACCTCTTGAATTTTTTCTTTCTTTTCTTTTTTAAAAAAAATATAACAGTTTCCTCCTTGTGTTCAGCCTCTCAGTTTTTTTTTTTATTTTTATACATGTGGGATACATGTGCAGGATGTGCAGGTTTGCTACATAGGAAAACGTGTGTCATGGTGGTTTGCTGCACCTATCAACCCATCACCTAAGTATTAAGCCCTGCATGCATTTTTCCTCTTCTCTCCCTCCCATGCCTCGCCCTCCACCTAGACAGGTTCCGGTGGGTGTTGTTCCCTTCCCTGTGTCCATGTGTTCTCATCATTCAACTCCCACTTGTAAGTCAGAACATGTGGTGTTTGGTTTTCTGTTCCTGTGTTAATTTGCTGAGTATAATGGCTTCTAGCTCCATCCATGTCCCTGAAATGGACATGATCTTGTTCCTTCTAATGGCTGCATAGTATTCCATGGTGTATATGTACCACATTTTCTTTATCCAGCCTATCATTGATGGGCATTTGGGTTGATTTCATGTCTTTACTATTGTGAATAGTGCGCAATGAACATATGTGTGCAAGAATTTTTTTCATTTGAAATAATTTTATATATAGGAAAGTTGCAAAAATGATACAAAGAATTCATGTATTCTTTCATCCAGCTTCCCTTAATACTAACATCTTATATTAGCAAGGATAATTATCAAAACAAAGAAATTGACTTTGGCATAATACTTTTAAGCAAACAATAGATGCTCCTTGAATTCCATCAGTTTTCCAGTAGTTCATTGCTTCTATCTCAGGATCCAATCCAGTATTCCACATTGCAGTTACTTTTTATGTCTCTTTAGTCTCCTCTAATCAATGATAATTCTTGAATTTGACAGTTTTAATGAATAATGGTCAGTTATGCTGTAGAGTGTCTCTCAGTTTGGTTTTGACTCTTGTATTCTTGTGATTAAATTGATACATCTTTGGCAAGTACACTGTAGAAGTGATGTTGTGTCCTTCCCAGTGCATCATATCAGGGTGTATATGATGTCAATATGTCTCATTACAGATGATATTAACTTTAATCATTTTCACTAAAATATTGTCTGCCAGGTTGCTCCACCATAAAATTATCACTTTCCTTTTTGCAATTAATAAATATCTTGGGCAAAACACTGTGAAACCACTCAAATATCATTTTTCCTGAAAACCGTGCTCACTGATTTTAGCCGTCATCAGTGAGTTTTGCCTGCAGCAATTATTACTATGATACTTGTTTGAGGTTGATTTTGTATTTCCCTAATTTCTTTTATATTTGTTAATTGAAATTTTTCTGTAATGAAGAACTATTTATTCTCCCATGTTTATTTATGTATTCAATTATTTAAAATAAATTGGGAAGTCATAAATGTTTACTCCTTTGAATATTATTTAATATTATCATTTTTAATTTTGTGACTCATGCTATTCTAGCATTTTCTGACACCATGATATATTTCAGTTTCATTTTATTTTATTTTAATTTTTGCATCAGCCTTGGAATCAACCACTTCTCTGACTAGCCATGGTTCTTTTGATTGGCGAATGGTATTTAGAAACAAAGATCCAGGCACAGAGTACTTGTTACGGAAGTGTTATTGTTTTTAGGATCTCTCAAATGACAGGGTTTGGAAATATATGCAAGTATACTACTCACACATACATACAATTCTGCATTTATATTTCTATATATAACTTAACATATATTAATGCTCATGAATTCATAGTTATGCCTCCAATTATAATCTGACACTATAGGGTTAATTCTGTCCTCCTTTTTCTTATTCGTAACTTCTTCCTTTGACAATGGAAACAGAGTCTCTTTATCTACAATATATTTACTTATTTGTTAGATCATTGTATACACATGCTCCTTTCAGAAACAGATTTACTAAGTACATTTGTGAATAGTTACTTACATGTTTAGCTTTATAATGTCCACACCAAACTCTAAGTTACTTAGATTAGTTCTTTTCTACCTCATTCCGTTCAGTGTGGTTATCCTATTCACTTGTAACATATTTAGGTTCATCTCTTACTGTCTTGTATTCAATTTTCAGATCCCCCAACAATTTGAGTGATTTTAATAACTATTTAGTTTTATGGGTATTTGAGACTTTATTATGGTTCTAAAAATCAAAGCTATGCTGAGAATATACCCAGAGAAATATCGTGAAGGAAAGGAAGATATTTTCATGTTTGTGCATAATTGGGACTTCCTGAGTAATGAAAATTAGGACCTGGATTAAAAGATAAGTCTTGGAAATTAAAGGGTATTAGACCACAAGACATTTGCTCCTACTGTCAGTAGTAAAACTTATCTTTCTAGAGCCAACTGTTTGCATTGCAGGGTAGGAACTTTCTCCTTTATCTTCCTGAGAGACTTTGTTTTATTTCAAATGGGGATGAGACCTAGAGCCCTAAAGCCTGTCATTTACATTGCATGTTATTGTAGACAACTAGGGAGTGGATATTGCCTTTCCTCTGGCAGAAAAGAATAGAGGGCAGCTTTTCTTCTCCTATACAAACTGTCAGGCTCATAATTTTGGAGGTATTCTCCTTCAGGACCCACCTCATATATATATATATAGGGTAACATTTGGTTTTTGTGCTTTGTGCCTAGGATATTAGGGCAAGAGGAACTGATGTGGTTATTACTATAAGTAATAATAATTTGCCTTGATCCAGAAACCTCATGTTTGTATCCTGTATTAGTCTGTTCTCATGCTACTATGAAGAAATACCCAAGACTGGGTAGTTTATAAAGGAAAGAGGTTTAATTGACTCACAGCTCCGCGTGGCTGGGGAAGCCTCAGGAAAGTTAAAATCATGGCAGAAGGGGAAGCAAACACGTCCTTCTTCACATGGTGGCAGGAGAAGTGCAGAACAAAGGGAGGAAAAGACCTTTATAAAACCATCAGATCTCATGAGAACTCACTCAGTATGAGAACAGCATGGGGAATCATGATCTAATCACCTCCCACAAGGTCCCTCCCCCAGCACATGGGGATTACAATTGGGATTACGATTCAAGATGAAATTTGGCTGGGGACACAGAGCCAGACCATATCATTATAAATAAGATAAATATATACATTAAAAACTTATTAAGAAATATTTCTTCCTCTTAATCTCTACTACTGTAGTCCATTTTCCCCTTCTTTTTGTCATTTCCTACCCACTCTCTGTTGGAATGAATCTTTTAAGTTTACAACTTATCTCTCTTGTATTTCTTTTGCATAAATGATGTATATTTTCTATCTTCTTTCCTTCTTGTTTTAATATAGTAGCTCTACTGAGATATAATTCACATACTGTAACATTAACCCATTTCAAGTGTACATGATTTTAGGGTATTCACAGGGTTGTGTGATCATCACCATAATCAATTTTGGAATAGTTTCATTATCCCTAAAAGAAACTCTGTAGACATAATTTGTTATTCTCCATAACCCTCCTCCCAGCCCGAGATAACAACTAATTTATATGGTCTTTAGTGGCTGGTTTCCTGCATGCAACATATTTTCAAGATTCATCCATGTTGTAGCATCAATCAGTACTTTATTCCTTTTTATTGCTGAATAATTTTTCACTGTATGTGTATACCACGTTATTTATCCATTTATCAGTTGATGGGCATTTTGGTTGTTTCCATTTTGAGGCTACTATAAATAAGGCTGCTACGAACATTTGTGTACAGCTTTTATGCAAACATGTTTTCATTTCTATTCATACATGAGTAGGAATAGAATTGCTGGGTCATTGATAACTCTATGTTTGACTTTTGATGAACTGCCAGACTGTTTTTCCAAAGCAGCTGCACCATTTTACATTCCTACTATTAATAGCAATATGTGGGGGGTTCCAATTTCTCCATATTCTCACCAACTTGTTGTTATCTCTTTTTAATTATAGTTATTCTAGTATTCCTTTCTTTCTCACATGACGTATAGAATCTTATGTTGTAAGATTATGACATAATGCTTTGTAATTTGCTTTTTTCCACTTACCAATATAGCCTGTGAAAAACAAGTCATCTTAGAGGAATATTCCTCGTTCTTTTTATAGCTGCATAGTATTCCATTGTGTAAATGTATCATAATTTATTCAATCCCTCTCGAACACATGGATATTTGGTTTATTACCACTACTTTGCAAATATGAACAATGCAGCAATAAATAACCCTATGCATATTATTTCAGCCTATGCATAATATTCATATTATTAGAAGAGTATTTTCAGGATATATATGTGGTTGTGCTAAATATTGTCAAATTTTCATCCAGAAGTCATAGACCAATTTTCATTCACATAAGCAGTGTATGAGAAAATGTGTTTGCTATAGCCTTGTCAACAGAATTTGCTGTCTTGCTTTTAGACGTTTGCCAGTCTGATAGGTGAGAAATGGTGTCTTTGTGTTGTTTAATTTCTCTAATTTTAGTGAGACTAAAGGCTTTTTATGTTTTTTATGTCATTTTTGAATATTTTTAGTGAATTTTCTGTTCTCTTAATTATTTTTTAAAGAGGTTAATAAATAACAAAACAATCTTTTATATTTATTCACGTTTATTATTTCTAGCATTCTGTTTTCTATGGATTCTAATTTCCATCTGGTGTCATTTTCTTTTAGCTTGAAGAACTTCCTTTAACATTTCTTTTAGTGTAGGTGTGTTAGGAACACATTTTCTCAGCTTTAGTTTTTCTAAAAATGTGTTTACTTTGCCTTCATTTTTTTGACGATATTTTGCTAGATAGAGAATCTAGCCTGCTGGTTATTTTCTTACAGTACTCTACGTTGTTCCATTGTCTTTTGGCTTATGCCTTTTCTGATAAGAAGTTTGCAGGCATTCTTATTTGTTTTCCTGCCGATGTCAGCCTTTGGTATACACCCCTGGGCTCTCAGTAAGGACCTGTGGCTAAGAGTTTTCAGGTTGGCATAGTCCTGTATTCTCTCTGTACCTCCTTCAAGTTTTTAATGTCACAGTTACCCACACTTTGCAATTAAATGCTTATAAATGATTTGGCTGGCACTTCATCATCCTCCTATTTTTCTATAGATAAGAGCAGCCCCGGATCTTTTCTCCCGTATGAAAAGTTTGTTACTTTCTGGAATTTTGTTCATTCAGGTTTCTTTGTGTACTCAACTTTGCAATGAATTAAAAGTAAAAGACTATGGTTTTGTAACTGCTCCAGCTTGGTTCAGTTGTTAGGATGATAACAATAGTTTCTTATGATATGGATCTAATGGAACCTAAGTTCATGTCTTTAATGAGAATGTTTGTAGTAACTGTGTTTAGATCATTTGTACACACAGCCAATGTGTGCTTATTTGACAACACTCACTCATTGAGCTCCCCTCTTAAGATATGATCACCCTTTGTTTTGCTGTAGGAAATGTGAGTTTTTGCAAGGAGAGGTAAAGTTTAATTGTCAAACCTGGAAATAATTGAATCTATAGTCCCCCTATGATAACAAAAGGGTGTTTGACTTGAGTTTTTAAAGCTTAGCATTGTTAAAGAGATTCCAACAATATCATGTTTAAAACAATGACATTAAATAGTAATGAAACACTTTAGCCATAAAATAAAGCAGATTTTAATGCTTTATCACCTCCAATAAATTGCAGTTTTGTTCTTCTTTTGAATCTCTGTTGAGCTGACACTTCATGCAATGACATCTAGCAGTGCTCAAATGCAAGACCATGAAAAAATAAAATTTGGCCGAATGAATGCAGATTTCTAGTTTGTATTACTTTCTCTTCTCTTGTGGTATATGTTAAAGAAGAGATTTAATCAGTTTCACCAGTAAGATCATGTCACTACCGCGAAAGATTTTAATGGTCAAGAAAAGTTTAGGCCATAGTTTTCATTTGTATTAGAAGGCATATTGATTTACATTATTTTATTGTATGGAATTTAAGATGCAATCATTTGCATAAATGAGAAAAATATTTCATTTCAAAGAGTAACATTTCTAACATTTCTTTTGTTTTCTAAAAGAGTAAGAATTCAAGATGGATTATGTTACTTTTCATTTGAATAATGTCAGATATCAGGAAGAGAAATAAATTGCCTTCGCATTTAATTGCATCACAACTGATTTTGGAATAATGAGATATTTTAGTTTTTCAAAAAATATTAGTGTGCTGCAAAATCATGTTCTTTCCATTATTTTTTCCAAGGTGAATAATCTAAATGTATTAGTTTTTATTTAGCAATTGATGAGTTAATAATATAAGGTTATTCATAGCTCGTTTAGAAAAGTCTCTGAATGTTTCATTCTCTTGGTGTTTAAAAACCCTTTCAATTATTTTTATGTTTGGGCAGAATTTGTATAAGCTGAGTGCCCTTTGCCCAAGGCATACTTTCTCCATGTTTATTTTTCTGCCCATTGCTTCAAATGAAATGGGATGAAGTATATGCGGAGACAGTTGCTTTTTATTTTCCACATTCTCATCTTGTCCGTAGAAAAATTGAGAGTAGCCATCAGCCAAAAATATGTTGGCCTTTAGGGAAAGTCCTACGTGTGTGTAGCAGGGGTAAGAGGAGATATGCAGAGTGAGAAACTATCTTTTATCTCTGCCTTTTCACTAAATACCCTCCTCACATGGAGGGTTATATGTGAATTCTTTATCATCACTTCTGCTACAACATGGCAGGCCAAGAGGATGAGAGCAGCACAGGGAGAAGAGGGACCGAGAAAGACAGGAAAAAAATGCTTCATGCCTTGAGTTTGTTGAAGTTTTATCCTACCTAGGCCAGGTGGGAGGAGAGATGTAGTCTATGTGATTTCATCTTATATCACCTGCCAGGCACTCTAGGAGTGAACTAAACTTTCCCCACTGACAATGTGGTGGAGTGGAAGATAAAAAGACTCTCAGTTTTTTGAAGGCTGTATAACTTATCTTATTATCTTAATCTCTGCAATTTGCTCTTCATAAAATTCTAGGGTAAGCATAACCCAGACTGTTATTTGACTTTACCTGTGAGGTGACTGAACTGAGAGGATAATTAATCTAGTTTATACAGTCTGCAATGGCAGAGCCAGACTCAAACCCAGGATGCAGACTTCAATTTCTTCTGTGACTCAATAGTGCTACCCTGTCCCCACTTTTCTACCTGAAATTCACCTACGTGGGTGATTGCAGGTTTGAATTTCTGGGAGCGCTCAGTACTTGAATGTATACAAATACATCTATGTGTGTTGTTCTAATTTTTTTTTTTTTTTTTTTTACTAAATCCATTAGCAAAATTGCTTTAGGTAAAGGAGAAAAGTTGTACCAGATAGATCGAAAGAAATGCAAAAGAGAATCACAAGAAATATGAATTCTCAAGTACCCTGAATTTTCCTACTAGGACTTTGTTCTCTTTTTAGATCTCCATCCTGTTGTGCAGTTTAATAATCAATTCCCTTGTTTCCTATCCTGAAGTCAAATAATGTTTAATAACTACAGGCATTTTAGTTTGTTGTTTGTCCAGTCATTTTTATTTATTTATTTAGACAGGGTATCACTCTGTTACCCAGGCTGCTGCAGCCTCAGTCTCTTGGGCAAAAGCGATCCTCCTGCCTCAGCCTCCAGAGTAGCTAGGACTACAAGCATGCACCACCACACCTGACTAATGTTTTTCTTTTAATTTTTTTTTTTTAGAAACAGTCTCACTATGTTGCCCAGGCTAGTCTTTAACACCAGATCTCAAGCAATCCTCCCACCTTGGCCTCCCAAATCCCTGCTGGGATTATAGGTGTGAGCCACTGCACCCAGCCTGTCTATTCATTTTTTCAGCACTTATTGAATCCTGTCTAGATACTAATCATTGTATTTGGCCTAGGGATTAAAAAATAAAAAGCAATTCCTGTTTTCAGGGAGCATGTCACATTGTGAACAACACGGAGAATTTAGCAGAGACCATGGTCTTTCTATTGGTTAAAAGTAAAGATTATATACATTAGTTTGTCTTTCCCTGTGCCACTCTCCTTTCCTATCGCTGCATGACTCAAGAAAATGGAACTCTACTTTTCCATACGCCCACTGATTCTGAATGGCTCTGCAAAAGCCCAGGGTTCTATCTATCTATTATGTAAACTCAGGAAGGATGTGTCTTTTCACTCACAGAGCTTCTCAAAACTGTTTCTTTTCTCTAGAAAATATTCCACATCTATCTCTGTGCAACCATTGCCCAGTATTATTTTGTAGAAGAATACATTTTGCTATTGTGATGAGATTTCATTTTCTGTTAGAGTGGAGGCTCTCAAAGTGTGGTTTGTGGAAGCTTGGGGGGTACCTAGGAGTCTGTGAAGCCAAAACTATTCATAACAGTAAGAATATATTTGCCCTTTGCACTGTTTTGCCATTTGCACCCTGGTGGTGCAAAGCCATAGTGGGTTAAACTGTGGTGCCTTAGCACAGATATAGGCAGTGGGCCCAACTGTTGTCAGAAGTCATTGCGGTCTTCATCACTACAGAACAAAAAAAATGAAGCCAGTTTGCCCTGAGCATGCCCTTGAAAAGGCAGTATAAATAATCACTTTTATTACATTTTGGCTTCAAGTATACATGTTTTCAAATATATTCTGCATAAACCACTCTACTACACAATGCAGTATGAGAGTTGCCTCAAAGAAAGCACTTGCGCAATTGTTTGGGTTGTGAGCTGAACTACCTGGGGTTTACACAGAACACTATTTTTACTTGAAAGAATAACTGACTATCTATGGTTTTTCAGTCTTGTTATTTGGTAGGCATTTCCTCAAAAATGAACGAAGTGAGCTTGTTGGGAAGACACTGACAGTGTATGTTGTCCATAATGAAACCCAACCGCTCAAGTGAAAAATTAGAATTTTGTAAGACTTGTATTTGCTACCATAAACTTGAAAGATTATCAACACTTAAAGATGGTTCTGATGAGATTAGTAATGATATTAAGAATTGTGGGCTTTTATCTATATCTTATAATTAGACATTTAACATTTAGAAACTCTGCATAAGAAATATTTTTCAAATGACTGATTCGTGATAGTACAAAATCACATGTGGGTAAAAGCTTAAAGTGCAAAATAGTCCAATAGATTTTAATGTAACAGAGTGAAAAATAAGTTTTATTATGGTTTCAGATTCCATGTTGCAGCTAACCTTAAAGAAATCATCACTTGGTGAGTTTTGGTTTAGTATCAAAGGAGAATATCCACAGTTATCAGAAAAATTCTAAAAGATATCCTTCTTCCCTTTTCAACTATATACCTCTGTGAGGTTATTTTATTTTTTATTTACTTCAATCAAAAAACCCCAACACCACTCTATATTGTATATTAGAATAAACTGAATGTTGAAACAGATACAAGAGACCAAGTGTTTTCTTTTAAGCCAGACATTAAAGAGATTTGCAAAAATGTAAAATAATGCTACTCTTCTAATTAAATATTTTATTTTAAAATATATAATTATTTTTCATAAAATTGCTATTTATGTTAACATCTAACTGGATAGTTATTACATTAAAAATGACTTAATAAGTATATACCTTAACATTTCTCAGTTTAAAATTTTGAATATTGATATTGTTGATATTGATACCTCTATAAACAAAAGCTTTTTGCTGTTCTTAATAATTTATAAAATCTTTTTATTATGAGTTTCTTTAGATGTGCAAAAAAGTTGTAAAAATAGTACAGAGAGTTTTCAAAAATCCTTCTTGCAGCCTCTCACAATGAGAACGTCTTACATAACCATGATATACTTATCCGATCAGTAAATTAACATTACTACAATGCCATTAACAAATAAAAACCCCATTTAAGCTTTACTAGCTTTTCCATTAATGTCTTTTTTTTTTTTGGCTCCAGGAACTGATTCAGAATCCCATATCACATTTTGTTATTACTTTTGCCTGGTCTCCTGCTGTCTGGAACAGTTTTTCAGTCTTCCTTCATTTTCAAGAGTGTGAAAGGATCCCAAGACCAAAAGTCTGGGAACTGCTGGTTTAGAGTCACAATACTGACTGCTCAAAATGACTTTTGTAAGTAAAAGCACTTTTAGTCTGTAGATATACATGAAATTGTACACATCATTTAAAGTATTTTTATTTAAGCAAATTTAAAAATTCTTCCTGTGCTGATACCTTGGCTAATTAATATTAGATGTAGTTCAAAACAAGCTAACGGTTAACCCAGGTAATTCTTGTCTATTTTAAGAATAGACATGTCTAACAATTGTATTTAAAATAATTCCCACCAAAAGACTCATAGCAACTTGGTGATCTAAAGTATGATCTAGCCAGCTGTAAAAATATTACTGACATATCTCTACACGGAATTAACTTACCAGTGAGATTATCATATTTGTGCTTGATCTATTAAGACTGAAGTTTGGCTTTGTCTAAATAAATCTTATTTTAATAAAAGATAAAAAATAAAAAAATAAATTAATAAAAGATTTAATTAATACATCTTATTATTTTTTATGCTTCAAAATATACTGAATCAACAAGTCAGAAAAAAACTGAACATTGACTGGAAACAATTACACATTCGTTTTCCTGGAGACTCTCTCAATGGCTTACACAGGAGTGCATTCTATTTCCAGGTCTGTTTGACACAGCAGCAGAGATGACCTTAGTTTGTACAAACTCATTCCTTATGAAAATATGACAGCTCAGAATTAAGAGAAGGCATATTATATTTTTAAAATTATTCAATAAATTACTTACTTTCAATTATAATGGAACTTTGGTAATGCTAACATTTGACAACTGGCCTAAGAAACTGCCAGATTTTCTATATAAGTTCTTCTTACCTTCAATTCTATAAAACACTATGTCAGCCCAGGGAACTGGACTTTGGTGACACATCTAAATCCTTATAATGACAAGCCTTTAGTATATTATTCCTTTCTTATCGATGCACATACTTTGCTTGTCTTAATGGGTTTCAGCAATAGTTTATTTAATCATTAGAGAAACACAAGTAGAAATTAATATATTTAGTAAAGAAAATATTCTTTTGTAATTATTTTATTGAAGGTTTGATAGTTGGTGTCTAGTATTGTAAAGTTTTGTCTCAGAAAAGGTTTATGGTCTTTTCTCAAAATTTATGAGAGATTTAAGTTAAATAAGTACTATATTGAATATTCTACAACTTCAAAAAATTATTTATGTAAAAACGAATTTGGGATTGTAATGAGGACAGAAGAAGAAAGCTACTTCAGAGTTAATATTACCTTGACAGCAGCTGAATTCCTTAGCAAAAACCTGCAATCAGCAAAGGGTACCAATCACATATACCTAAACTGGGTAGAAGAAATTCAACTTCTGAGATTTTCCTTTTTCTTTTGTTTGCCTGATGTATTAGTCCATTTTTATGCTGCTGATAAAGACATACTCGAGATTGGGAAGAAAAAGAGGTTTAATTGGTCTTACAGTTCCACATGGCTGGGGAGGCCTCAGAATCATGGTGGGAGACTAAAGGCACTTCTTACATAACAGTGGCAAGAGAAAATAAGAAGGATGCAAAAGTGGAAACCCCTGATAAACCCATCAGATCTCGTGAGACTTATTCACTACCACAAGAACAGTATGGGGGAAAGTGCCCCCATGATTCCAATTAACTCCCACTAGGTCCCTCCCACAATACATGGGAATTATGGGAGTACAATTCAAGATGAGATTTGGGTAGGGGCACAGAGCCAAACCACATTGTTCTGCCCCTGGCCCCTCCAAATCTCATGTCCTCACATTTCAAAACCAATCGTGCCTTCCCAACAGTCCCCTAAAGTCTTAACTCATTTCAGCATTAACCCAAAAGTCCACAGTCCAAAGTCTCATCTGAGACAAGGCAAGTCCCTTCAACATATGAGCCTGAAAAATCAAAAGCAAGCTTGTTACTTCCTAGATACAACAGGGGTACAGGTATTGGGTAAACACAGCCATTCCAAAGGGGAGAAACTGGCTAAAACAAAAGGGTTACAGGTACCATGCAAGTCCAAAATCCAGCAGGACAGTCAAATTTTAAAGCTCCAAAATGATCTCCTTTGACTCCGGGTCTCACATTCGGGTCATGCTGATGCAAGAGGTGGGTTCCCATAGTCTTGGGCAGCTCTACCCCTGTGGCTCTGCAGGGTATAGCCCCCTCCCAGCTGCTTTCATGGGCTGGCATTGAGTGTCTGTGGCTTTTCCAGGCACATGGTGCAAGCTGTTGGTGGATCTACCATTCTGGGGTCTGGAGGATGGTGGCCCTCTTCTCACAACTAGGCAGTGCCCCAGTAGGAACTATGCGTGGGGGCTCTGACCCCACATTTCCCTTCTGCTCTTCCCTAGCAGATGTTCTCCATGAGTGCCCCACCCCTGAAACAAACTTTTGCCTGGGCATCCATGCGTTTCCATACATCCTCTGAAATCTAGGCGGAGGTTCCCAAACCCGAATTCTTAACTTCTGTGCACCTACAGGCTCAAGACCACATGGAAGCTGCCAAGGCTTGACGCTTTCACCCTTTGAAGCAACAGCCTGAGCTGTACCTTGGCCCCTTTTAGTCATGGCTGGAGTGGGTGGGACACAGGGCACCAAGTCCCTAGACTTCACACAGCAAGGGGACCCCAGGCCCAGCCCACGAAACCAGAAACCATTTTCTCCTAGGCCTCCAGGCCTGTGAAGGCTGCAGTGAAGACCTCCGACATGCCCTGGAGACATTTTCCCCATTGTCTTGGGGATTAACATTTGGCTCCTCGTTACTTATGCAAATTTCTATATAGGCGGCTGGAATTTCTCCTCAGAAAATGGGATCTTCTTTTCTATCACCTTGTCAGGCTGCAAATTTTCCAAACTTTTACGCTCTGCTTCTCTTATAAAACTGAATGCCCTTAACAACACCCAGGTCACCTCTTGAATGCTTTGGGGCTTAGAAATTTCTTCCACCAGGTACCCATCTTTCTCAAGTTCAAGATTCCACAAATCTCTAGAGCAGGGGCAAAAGGCTGCCAGTCTCTTTGCTAAAACACAACAAGAGTCACCCTTGCTCCAGTTCCCAACAAGTTCTTCATCTCTGTGTGATAACACCTCAGCCTGGACCTTATTGTCCATATCGCTATCAGCATTTTTGTCAAAGCTTTTCAACAAGTCTCTAGGAAGTTCCAAAGATTCCCACATTTTCCTGTCTTCTTCTGAGCCCTCCAAACTGTTCCAACCTCCACCTGTTACCCAGTTCCAAAGGCACTTCCACATTTTCAGGTAACTTTTCTGCAGCGCCCCACTCTGCTGGTACCAGTTTACTGTATTAGTCTGTTTTCACGCTGCTGATAAAAACATACCCGAGACTGGGAAGAAAAAGAGGTTTAATTGGACTTAACAGTTCCACATGGCTGGGGAGGCCTCAGAATCATAGTGGGAGGCTAAAGGCACTTCTTACATGACAGCGGCAGAGAAAATGAGAAAAATGCAAAAGCAGAAACCCCTGATAAACCCGTCAGATCTCGAGAGACTTATTCACTCCCATGAGAACAGTATGGGGGAAAACTGTCCCCATGGTTCAAATTATCTCCCATTGGGTTCCTCCCACAACACATGAGAATTATGGGAATACAATTCAAGATGAGAACTGGGTGGGGACACAGAGCCAAACCATGTCACCTGATGATTGATAAAGAAGGAAAATAGGAAAGTTGAGAGAGAATTATTCTTAATATTTATGTATACAAACTTCAGGAAACCTTTACTAAACTCACATCCAGCTGGTTTGAAACAAAAAAGAATGTGCCTCAGGTGACATCAACTGATCACCTATTCCTTTGACCTAATAGTGCCAAGCACTCTTCTAGTTTCTGAATGATATATATTCTGTCCATTCATACTAGAAAACATTTCTTCAGTGACTGTTACGTGTTAGACAACATACCGGGCAATATGGTTACAAAGATGAAAGAAACTCAGCCTCTGCCCACAAGGAGCTCACAGGTTAATTACAGACACAATCGTACAAACATAACATGGAACTAGCAGTAAAAGACTGAGTTTATACTTAAAGAACTAAGTGCTACAGTCCATTGTAAACTGAGTGATCATGGAAGTCACCAAGGAAGTGCAGCTTCATTTGGACTTTGCAGCAAGGGGTGGTTTTGCATAGTTGGAGGTGGGAAGGCAGAGGTCATTCTAGGTGGGAAGATTAAAGACATGGAAGAAAATATACAAGAAGTGACACAAAGCTAGCTTAGCGAGGGGAGGGTGCTGTACTATATTTTCTCTTCACTGGCTTCCAATTCAAAGACAGTAGTCTTGGTATTGCTAAGATAATTTTGATGGCACTCTACAAAATTAATGTTTCATGCAACTTACAACTCTTATGTATTTCTCCCTGTTATTTCCCTTCTCTTTGAATCTCACTTTCATCTTTTTTTTTTCTCTTGAACTTTTTAGCTTCCATCTATAGTTCCAATAGACATTGTTCAGGTGTATTAATGGCTTTGCTTTTGTAGAAGTTCTTAAGCTCGTTATATCTTCAGGACAGGTGAGAATTGGGAGGGAGGGTGCTGGTAGGTGACTGTGATTAAAAAGTTTCTTCCAAATAAAATTCTTAACCTTTAGCACCTGATATATTCCTCAAAAGAAAAATTTAATCTTTTCTTAAGGCTTATATTGTAAAAAATATGGTCTTTGTAGTATACGAAAAAATTGATATCTCTTTTTAAGAGACCACTTAACCAAGCCAAATATCATGGTGAATAGTCAAAGAAAAACAAGATTTGATTGTGATGTCAATTTTAGAAAATGAAACTGTATATTATGCAATGTATTATAATTCCATCTATATGTTAACTCTTAACATGACTCAGAATGAATCAAAGATTAATTTTGATTGGTGTAAATTTTCAGAAAAATTAATATGTTAAGATATTATCATTTTCATTTCATCTTTGACTGTGTAGTGTAATTAAAAAGTCATTTGTCCTGAACATCAATCTCTAATCCCTTGTTAGTCATCATTCTTGTTTCTTTATCACTCTGTCCATTTTCTCTAGACTGTTCACTAGTCTAACTTTCCTAAGCATTGATTTGTGAAAGTTTCTGTGTATGTTTCATGCAATCTTCCAATTTTAATTTCTCTATGCAAGTGATTTGCATGGCATTATCAGATGTCCCAAATCAATAAGAGACAGATGCCCAAAGGTATCACTAAACACTAGAGTCATCTAGGAAGTAGTGTGAATTTATTAGTGAATGTTTTCAGATTAGGATTTCTTTTGCTTATGTGTGCAACACCAGACTAGAAGGCACACACAGAATGAATAGTTGGATAACAAGGTGACCTTTCTGCCTATGTATGGAAGCTCCCAAGTAAGTGTACTTAGTTCCATTTTGGGGATTCATTTTAGGCATCTTCAGAGCTCTGTTTGCTTGGGCAGGTAGACACACCATTGATGCAGGGAGAGATTTGAACTGATGGATCCTCTCCTAACCTGTCAGAACACCATGCTTCTCTGCTTAGTTGTGGCTGAGGGATGATACTTAAAAAAAAACAACATGCATCTTTTTATTTATTTATTTGACAAATAAAAATTGTGCATGTTTATTGTGTACAACATGATGTTTTGAAATATGCATACGTTTAGGAATGACTAAATCAAGTTAATAACATATGTTTACATATGCATTACAAGATATCATTGCATTACAATATGCAATTTGTACATACCCAAAATTGTATATCTATGTTTTTTAAAATCAGAAACTTTTTCATGAAAAGTGAACTGATTTTATGATATTGTTTTAGATTAAGATTTTTTAAAAAGTATTCGTCTTTTTTGTTGTTGTTTGTGTAAGTTCCAATTTGTATTTTAATGGAAATACTGACAAAAGCTGTTTTTCATATAATACAGTCATATTTTGTAGTCATCTGTTTGGTTTTACTATTTAAAAGCATCACTTGTATCAACTTCCCCCAAATATATAATTTTAAAAAACATCTTTTATTTTAAGATAACGATACTATTTTGTTATGAAAATAGGACAGATTCATTAATAGAAAATGTAAAAAATACAGGAAAGTGGGGGAAACATCACCAGAACAACTACTGACATTTCTAATATTTTCTTTCAGTTTCTCCCTATGCTAAATAGATTTTACATATTTCAAATCAAACTGCAGATGATATTATACTTTCCTTTTTTCTCCTTATAGTAAAGAAGAAAGCCTTAAAAACCCTTGAGTGAATGGTTGGTATTTACAGACAAGCAAATGTATGGAAGAGAAACGAGAGACCCAGCCTGAATCTGTTGAATGAACGAAAGGGGAAATGCCCTAAGGAGTCAGATGGAAGAAGTTTTTCTGGGAAGAGCAGAACACAGGAGTTGGGGTGCAGACCTCCTGGATCACCAGCAGAAGGAAAAGAGCAGTGAGACGTTAAAGTGATTGAGACAAAAATGGAAGTAAAACAGCTTAAGGCTTTCTGAGATCGAGTTCCTGGCAGTGTCATCAGCAGATGGTTTCTTCTGAAGTTCAGGGGAAGAGAAGATGCTCGAAGAACTCTCCAGGGACTGAGTGGGTGGTACAGAGCTAGTGCTGTAGATGCCATGTATACAGGCAAATTCCCCAATGAGTGTTTTCCAATATCAAGTTTAACTGGCATTTAAGATATATGCCAAAGGTAGGTAAATTATTTTGGCCTGTGCTTATAGGTTTATTTCCCTGGATGAAGCTTTCTGTCTCTGTCCTAGTGCACTGTAGCAGATGCAGGGTCTTTCCATACAATACATTAAAAGCTGCATCTCATTTTAAATATATTATAGAAACCCTGATCATACAATACATACAAGATTTTTAAGATCAGCCTTCAGTCGATTTTTTTGCTTTATTTTTGTTCTGGAGGTCAAAATGAGTGGTTAACTGTCTAAGTTGATTGCAGAGAAAGTTACTACTCATTCTAAACGTAGGTTTTTAGAAAAGTGTTCTTGGCAGTTGCTACCATTGGCTTTTTCCAACTTACATGGGAATCAAGATTCAGAACTGGTACACCAATGGGAAGAGCCTGGAAAATAGACTATTGATCAAGATGAATCTGGTCCAGATACTTTAAGACCTTTTCAGTGTGTTTTTAAGATTATAAGTTTGAACTAACAGAAACTTCAATGCTGTTTTTTCACAAGTCAATGTGTAGTGTACTGTTATTCTTTTTTTTCCTGTAATATCTTAATAATATTCCTGGCTGTAAGAAAAAGTTAACACTATACCTATGTTTTGACTTACTTTATAGAAGACCCAAACAATATTTAACAAAAGGATTTTTCTCAAATACTATTTTGAAATCACTATATTAGACACTATCTTAAATTTATTTCTCAATTTGCTTCTTTTTGAAACTTCCACATTTTGGTGTTCTTTTCAGCATCACTCATTTTCTTTCATAATAAAGATACCCAATAACAATATCATAATAAAGATTTGATAACAAATCTCCAGTTTTGGAGTGTTACATTTCATATCTACATGCTTACAGAGAATTTAGTATGAATATTCCCTGGCCTTAGTTCCTCTAAGCCTAGGATACTTGTAGTCATTTGGCAAATAATTTAATCCATGGCAAACATGAGTCTTAATACAAAAATTATTGAGTAGGCAAAAAATAATTGAACATATTTTGGACTGATTACCAGTGCATTAAAAAAGTAGAGGTTTAAGGATGAGAATAATAAGTTTTTTTGTTTTTACTTAAATTTATATAAAAGGAGTGAAAATACAGTAGCCTATAGTACTTAAGAGTGTGGGTATATTTTCAGCACTTAATAATTACTAGTTGAATTGCATAATATGGGACTATAACTGATATGGTTTGGCTCTGTGTCCCCGCCCAAATCTCATGTTGAATTATAATTTCCAATATTGGAGGAGGTACCTAGTGGGAGGTGACTGGATCATTGGGGGAAATTTCCCCCTTGCTGTCCTCATGATAGTGAGTGAGTTCTCACAAGATCTGATGGTTTAAAAGTGTGTGGCATTTCCCCCTTTACTCTTTCTCTCTCCTGCTGGCCATGAGAATAAGTGCTTGCTTCCCATTCACCTTCTGCCATGCTTGTGTTTCCTGAGGCTTCCCAGCCATGCTTCTTGTTCAAGCTGCAGAACTGTGAGTCAATTAAACCTCATTTCTTCATAAATTACCCAGTCTCAGCTCTTTATGGGAGTGTGAGAATGGACTAATAAAATATCTCTAGAATTATGTTTTTGGAGATAATTTAAAGATAAACAAATATTGGAAACCTCATTTGATCACACAGAGAACAGTAAATGGAAGTTCTACTTTTTCTCCAGGGCCTTTCTCATGCTTATGCAGGGATTATTCACCCAGATATCCTGAAATAAGACATCCAATTAAGGTACCTGCTATCTCATGTAACACAGAAGAAAGTTGAGCATAGAGGTTAAACATTACCTAATATTGTTGGAAAAGCTTCGAAGCGTTCATTTTCAAAGCAGCTAATGTAAACCATGATAATCACTAGTAGCACTATGCCATTTTAAATACTTCAATATTTTGTAGTTATTAGATTCTAAGTAAGTATAAAATGTAGTGAATACAAATTTTATTTGCCTAAACAGTGTTAGACAATATAAATTAACGAGTTATTTTTTATTCTGTTTAATATTTTCAAGCCAATAAACACTTTACTAAAGTATAAAGTAGCTATTCATTATTACTCTGTGTCTTATGTTTATGATGTTAGAAATGAGTAGAGATGGTTAGCTGCCTGGGTATCTGTTGAAAATTCTGCTTAAACTATGTATTATAAAGTTCTGTACATTTCAATGATTTCTTGGAGATTCACTGTCTAGTTCAGTTATAAGTAATTTATAATTCTAACATTAGTCAAAACATTTGTGGGAAATGCGCCTTGACAGTTATAACTTGACCATGAAAACTGCTTTTTAAGGCCTTAATTAGAAAGGTCAGCCTGCATTATTTAAACCCTTCTTATGTATTCTTTGTATGCAATTCTATTTTCCAGTGACTGCAGGGGATTAAAAGAAAATTCTCACAAAAGCAAACAATAATTTTGGAAAATATTTATAACTGGACACAATCTGTAGAACTCTCCTTGCTTTGTCTCATTTGTAATAAGTTTCTAGCTCAGCATTTGATGGCTAATTCAGGAGTTGTTGGTGTTGGGCAGGGTGACCTGTTGAGTCTGATGGTTGTGATTTCTATTGTTATGGTTTCCTTTTAATTTAATTTGGTCTTGAAGTCTGTCATGAGACTGGCCATAAGCCAGGATAGCCACTCTCCAGGAGAGCCCTGACCAGTGGAAAGTTAAATTTGGGTGTGTGTGTCAGGTGAGACACAATGAGGAAGTAAAACCAAAATGTATGAAACAGAAGAAATTTATTACTAATAGGACCAGAGAGGCAAGGGATGCTGATGGGAGGACTGCAAGAAGCCCAGAGGCAACAGGGAGCTCAACACATGGATGCTGGGGAAGAGAGAGAGAGAAAGAGAAAGAGAGGAACCGGTGGGACTATGCGGTTCTTAAGGTCCACGGGCATTATTCCTTAGGCTTTTGCGTGGCGGTTGTGGATTGGCTAGTTTAAAGAAAACACAGCAAAGGGAGAACTTATTTACATAACTCTGGTGTTAATCATGTGTTTTATTGTAGTTAGCAGATGTGGTGTGTGTTGGATTTTGGGCCAATAAGAGGAGGAACAAGCAGGCTATGTTGTAAACAACCACTATGGGGAGGGGAAGTTTTAATTTAACCAAAGTGATGGGGTTGGACTAGGTTTCAAACAACTTATGTCAGGTCTAAAACTGAATGCTGAGGCAGCAACTATATTAAACAAATTTATGACAGTGATGCTGGCATCACTTACTGCTTTTAGTTCAACCCTGCAACAGGTTTTCAAACATGACCATTTTGCTTTCTTATGCTTGCAAATTAGAAACATCATTAAATAGGCTACATAAAAAATAAGATTTTTAAGAAATATTTTCTAAGCAGAATGGCCAATGTCATTGATAGATATAAAATAATGACCATGCTTATTCTCTTTCATTATTTGATCAGCATATTCAGGTATATTATTCAACACACTTAGTCATAAAGTTCTTGAAGCATCTTTTTGTTCCTCATAGTTCATATTTTCTTGCACTTCTTAATCTATGGTTAATGAACAAAAGCATGCACACACAATTCTTTTAAAATAAATGTAGTCTGTGGGAAGTTTTAGATAATCCAGGGATTTTTAAGTAATTGAGAGCTTTGAAAAGAATACTTTAGAAGTCAAACCTTTTGGCCTCAGTTTGTAGCAAGGAAACAAACAACAAAATGTAAGCTCTATATGAAAGAGACACAAATAGAAAACAAGGGAATCCTTAATATAAAGAGGACTCAAGTCAGTTAAAAAAAAAGTCATATTTCTTTCTTAAGTTCAATAATTCAGTATTCATAAGAGATATATCTCCCTCCACCCCCATGACCCTCACACATACATGCTGCTTTTTAGCATTAACAATGAACTTTATTATAATTAACTTATTCTATGTGTGTGTAAAATTAGTGCCAGGTCTGAAATGAACTCTAAGTCTCTGCATCCTCGCCCCTGTTCTTTGGAATTACTGAGGGACTATGAGCTATTGCACCATGAGGGGAAAATATAAAGGTCAATTTATTAATGTGTGTCTGCATATATCTTATTGTTATTTGCAAGTCTTAATGCTAAGCAGTCACTTCAAGTTTTATAGGATGTAATCTGGTACTTGTAAATAAAACTCAGAGTTCTCAAAAGAAAATCATAAAAGTAGCATATTGCAATCAAAGAGCAGATGTCTTGTGATGTCAAGCTGAATATTTATGGTCTTGCTCTAAGCCAATCTCTGAAACTGACAACAAATTACAAATTATTTGAATATCTAAAAGAGAATAATTTCATTAGAAAGGTGTTAAAAACTTTGCTTTGCAAACAAACAAACAAACAAAAAACAAATAGATTTTTAGTTCTAAGAAAAAGGAAAAAAACCCACACAATACTGAAATAGAAAAATTCAACAATGTATTCAAGAGTTTCTGATTACTAGTAATGAGTGACCCAGAACAACTAGATTAGACTTCTTTTAATTAGATTGTGGTAAGTATTCCAACATACCTGAAAGATGAAAAAAATATTCTTAATTTGATTCTTGCTAATTTAAATTCTCAACCAAATTAACTTTAGTGATTAAATTTCACACGTAAAAATGTTTAACATCTTATTTCTTAGTTGGCCTTGGAAGTGTTTCTAGATTATTCTGGCTCTTCTGCAGAAGGTCTCAAAAAGAAATGTGGTAATTTATCTTCTGTAGTCAAACATGTCACTTTTGCTTTTTATAATGAGGCAGAAGGGATACTGTTATTCACCATATTTCTGCTATGTTAAGATTTGGAAGTTAATTGGGGAGAACCATAAATAAGGTCATCAAAATCCAAATGCTTCAGTGAAACTTGAGCCCCCTCGACAACATTCCTAAAGTGTTGTTATTTTGTCTTTGCGGGATATTCCAGTGACATGTTAATCTGATCCATCTTCAGAGGGTTGTATCATTCAAAGTTTACTTCCTGATATGGTTTGGCTTTGTCCCCACTCAAATCTCATCTTGAATTGTAGCCGCCATAATCCCCATGTGTCATGGGAGGGACTCTGTGGGAGGTAATTGAATCATGGGGCCGGGTTTTTCCCATGCTGTTCTCATGATAGTGAATAAGTCTCATGAGATTTGATGGTTTTATAAAAGACGTTCCCCTACACATGCTCCCTTGCCTGCTGCCATGTAAGATATGTCTTTGCTCTTCCTTCACCTTCCACCTTGATTGTGAGGCCTCCCCAGCCATGTGGAACTGAGTCCATTAAACCTCTTTTTCTTAATAAATTATCCAGTTTTGGGTACATCCTTACAGCAGTGTGAGAACAAACTAATCCACTCACTTAAAAGAACTTTGATTGAGGGCTTACTGTATGACCAGTCCTAAGAAACTGAGATACCACACTGAACCAAATTCCTGGCAATGTGGAATTTATAGGCTATTTTTTCATATTATGCTGAATTCTAACTCTCCCTAACTTCTATCTTTTGTTATCAGTTGTTCATATATCAGCCTTATACTACTATTATCTGCCAGCCTAATGAGGCTTTATTTTGTTAACTGATCTCTAAACTGATGTTTTCATCAAATCTGAAAAGAAATATTTTAAAGGTGAAAAATTTGAACTATCAGTGGTATAGGTTACATGTAAAACATTTCAACTAAATATGCATGATTCTGAGGCAGAAACAGATGCACTGAAAGTTTATGATTTTTATTTCTCTGGTCCATGTTCCTGGGCTTGCTTCATTAAAGCTGAGTGAGTAAAACTGATTGACAAGTAAGGCAATGTAAATGCAAATGCCTGAATCCACAATAGGACAGCCCCTTTAGAAAGGAATTGATGGCTCTGTAAATACAGTACTAACTAAACACCATGTATTGAGGACAATCTACAAAAAATAATATTTTGTCCTTAGAAATGTTTTGTTGTTACCTTGTAGATAGGCCCCAAATTATTTTTTAATAATATATAATAGACATGAATTATCTGCAGGTTACATATGAAAAAAAGATTCAGCATATAGTCTCATGCACAAGCAGACCAATTATTCTTTGAATCAAACCTCCCAACACCAATAATGGAATGCCAACCATATTTTCTTAATTGGCTCATGAATATGTTAAGGGGACTGGAGTTATTCTTTGCATATTTATTAATTCTATGTTTTCCTATTTATCTTGAAATATTAACTTTGACAAAGAAAGAACTTATGTTGATTTGACTTATTTTTTAATTCACAAAAAATATTTTATGTCTCAATTTACTAGCTTCACAGTATATACAGAATAGTAATGATTTTTTCATTCAGTAAAATGGTAGATGGGTTATTTCCAGCCCCATTCTTTATTTTATATTAATTCAAAGCATCCTTTTCAATAGTTTGAAATGTTACATCCACCTTGTCAAGTAGATCCAGTTGTTATAGCTGCCATTATACAGACTCTTCTCTGTAATAATTATTTTCATCATAAATGAAAGCATCCATCTTATTGGCATATTCCTTTATCAACACTGTGGTGTGAAATATGTTCTAGTTGATGAATATTGGCAAAATAGGTCATCTTGTTGGCAGTGGCAGCCCGTTGGGAGTGGCTGCTGTGAAGACATGGGCTGAAGTTGGGGAGGTGCAGCTAGGGCTGGGAACAGGGGGAGCCCTGCCCCCTTCTGAATTGGCAGGGTGGGAGCCCTGCCCTCCGAGGCACTGCTGCAGCTACCCAGCCACAGCTGCGGACGTGGGCACCCTGTGCTCCTGGGGACCTCTGAGCCCCCTCAGCCTCGCGGGCTCAGAAGTGCCTACTCCCACTGCCTGGCTTCTCCCTGTGCCTGGTGCCCACTCTGATTTCAGAGCAAAGTTGAGGGCAAGCCCGGGTGCTCTTCTGACCTGCCTGTGGGTGCGCATGTTTGGGGTGACGCTGACATGCCAAACCCTGGCCCTTGGCCCCCTTGGACTTTATGCACTGATCAGCATGGGAGGGAGGCTGAGGCAGGGTTGACGGCAGCTTGTCGGGCCTGCAGGCACTCCTCAGCATGAGCAGCGTGGGCACTATGGACAATATGATAGCAGCAGGAGGAAGACAGACTTCTGCATAGAAAAGGGTGGGTGCACAGTGAAGCCCCACCTTCAAGCCAGAGATGACCTAAAGTATGGGGTCTGGGCTGTCAGTTCTGGCTGGAGTCCATGGCTTGGAGTAAGAACTTATGGTGCTTTTTCCAGGCCTGCCTATGGCTGCCCATGGACTAATCAGCATGCACAATGCACTTCCTTCCTTCTGAAGCCCATAAAGGACTCTCTCTCCATTCCGCCCCATCCACCACTCAGCCATACTCACAGAGATGTTGGGACAACTTGCCTGCAGATGGCAGCTACCCATGCTTGGTCTCTCCGCTGAGGGCTGCAACCTGCCTGCGGAAAGGAGCTACCCACTTTGGGTCTATTGAAAGCTGTCCTGTCACTCAATGAAGCTTCTCTCCACCTTGTTTACCCTCCAGTTGTCCATGTACCTCATTCTTCCTGGATGTGGGACAAGAACTCAGGACCTGCTGAATGGCAGGACTGAAAGGGCTATAACACAAACAGGGCTGAAACATGACCTGCCACTCACCATGTTGTGAGCGACGGGAAGGAGAAAAGAGTTGCCGCCCTTAGGGAAGCCCAGACCTAGGGGCTCCCCAAGTTAGGGCTATGATGATACTGTCTTTGAGGCTCTGTGGTTCCTGGCATCTCCAAGTTTCCAGGCACCACTGCATTCCCCTTGTCCAGGCATGGGTGCCCACAACAGAAGCTGCATGTAGTACATCTGGTTCAGCTGCAGTGCCTGAAGCTGCCCACCCTGCCGCAGCAGCCAGTGTGCCTGCCTGTGCGCTGTGGCTGAACCCCATGCTCACTTGCCCACACACCCCTCACTGATCCGAGCCTGGCTTGCCCTTGGCAGGTATGGAATCCAGGCTGATAGCATGAGCCGAGTGCAGCCTTCCAGGATGAGTGGGCAAAGCGAGCCCACCAGGCATGAGCAATACTCAGGCAGAAGGTACCACCAGCCACAGAGGTTTCCAGCTGGTGAAGCAACACCCCAAGTATCCCGTGACAATCTGAGTAGCAGGAAGAGAATGTCTGAAAGCTGTGTATTTTTGTTGCAATGACTATCTTCTTGGTTTCTGACCAGGAAGACTCAGAATAAGTATGGTAGCATTTGTTGTCCTGGAATAGAAAGACAGGCACCAATCATGAGGACAATTTGGTTAATAATGGCAGGAAAGCAAAAAGGAGAGGAAAGTTTCAATGCAAGTACAGATCTAAGCATGGAATTGAGTCAACCAAAAAATTCTTTGCTCTGTGATTACTGTTCAATCCCAGCACCGTTGTCATGTCCAGCTGTCAGAATTAAAAGACAGTTTCCTGAGATACAGCCCTGCCCAGTTTGAATCAATAGGAAACTGGCCTGTTCACGTAGTAGGATCACATTTTCCCTGACTAGTAAGTGAGATTTGGAAATCATCTCTTGCCATTGTGTACCAGGACAATGCTTCTCAATCTTTATTCCAATCATGAGCATTCTTGAAAATTGGATGGAAGACATAAATCTTAGAAAGGTACACATGCACTTACATGCACATACACATTTTTGTAAACTATCGAAAGGGGTTTGCACGTGTCTTCTCACCCAATTGTGATTCTCCCTGGGGCCATGGACTCCAAGATAAGAACTTCCTACACTAGAGGAGAAGAAACTAGCTTTAATCATGTAGTCCATGTGTTAGATATTATCCTAAGCACTTTATACATACTCTCTCATTTACTCCTTACGACAACCCTGTGAGGTCATTTTATTGACCCCATTTTTCAAATGAGCTGGTCAGCATCAGGACTTGAGCATGGTTAAGCAACCCACAGGTGAAGACCTCAGAATACTAAATAGTCTGTTCATAAGCACTTAGTGCCATATTCTCCCAGTTTCCTTTTCTGGTTTGCCACCCTGTCTTTCTACTAATCCAAACTGTTCAACAGAGCTTATCTAGTTTCCCTTCATCCTCACTTAGACAATTACTTCTCCTCATCTTCCCATTGGGAGCCCCTGTTCTGCTTCATAGCCACCCTTCTGTGCTATAGTATCACTACTTTCGCCAGCTGCAAGGAGCTGAATCTTCTGATGTACGACCTCCATACCCTCATCTAGCCTCCTGCCACCAATTACCCCTACAGGTTTAGTCTCACATCTGTTCCTAAGCCAATACTAATTGAGGCAGGAAATAGACCTTGGTGTAGTGAGTCTGGGAATTAAATTACTTTAACAAGATCCACTGATCTGGCATCCAACAGCTGGGCTTTCAAATCTCCATTCCATTAACCAGATGAGGAATCCAATGTGTCTATGTGTATGCCTTTGTGTGCTTCTGTACTTTCTATTTATACATTTCCTATTGGCAGCATGTAAGGACTTTTACTATCTTGGAAATTAAATAGAATATTCCTTGAGAGTTAAACTTTGGGTAAAAAACCAGAGCAGAGATAAGCAAAGTATTGGGAAAGGTAAAGAATGGTTCCCATGTTGAAAGGATTTGATTGCAACTCAATTGTCCATATTAATTCACTTGAATAAAGACTGTTATCTATGTAAATAAGGGTTAGCCAGTAATGGAAATATAGAAAATGGAGAGTTTCAGGGAAATAAATGTTGGCAATGCCAACTCAGGAATAGCCAAGGGAATGAATACTGCTAAATATTCCTTTGAAACTCAAATGCTTCCCTTACCAAGAAAGGTGTCCCTTTTGTGATGAGAAATGCAATTAATTGTAGGCAATGAAAACAGCATGTTCTGGATCCATTCACAACAATAATATTTCTATGGACAAGTGGGTATGTTTCATGTTATCTTAGCACAATGCCCTTGAACAGTTTATACATCAAATCATCTTTCTACTAATTCCACACTTACCTAGTTACCATCTATTTATGATTTGATTTTCCATTTAGTTCTCTCTACAGGCAAATATTTACTACTCATGTACATGATAAATATCACTGGTCATTGGTGCTATGACAGTAATTTTTCAAGATGACTTAATAAAGTGGTATGGAATATTATTTGATTTCTTTTAAAGTCCAGCCACATTTTAATATTTGCTGATGCAACTGTTCTGCTCAGCATGGCACTTATACTCATTGAATTTTTCAAGTCAGGAGTTACAAGTATACTCTAGTCTTGGGCACATTTTAGTTAGGGTCATTCAGCCTCTCACCACTTGTTTCTCTGAGCACTATCAAGAAGGGGGCATTGCACATTGATTATAGAGTACAGAGCCTCTGAAATGACTTACCTAATTGAGGCATTTTCTGGGGAGGCTATTCTGAGCAGGAGGAAACCTTCCCTTTATGGCACAATGACCAATTTCATTATCTTGAATAGATTTTTACATTGTCTGCTCTATGATAGAACTGCGATTCTCTTTGCTCCCAGCTCCCCAGTTGGTATAGTTCCTTGGCTTATTATGCACATACCCCGTCCCTTATTCTGCCATCCCTCTAGCTACTTGGATGATATCTGGATGTCCAGAAACAAAGCTTTGGTTTGACCGAATCTGGTAATAGACCTGCCAAGTGCCTGGCTCATGGACTGTGCAATAGCCTGTCCCATCCCCTTATACTCTTGGCTGAGGGCCTTTAACAGAAACAAACTGTGAATAATGTCGCCTGGCCAGCTAGTGTTTCCCAACCCTCTGGATCTGCCCGTCTGGTGTCTGGTATTAGCAGAAATGTGAGTGGGCACTGATACTGCTCCGTTTTATGCCCAAAGTGTCTGTATCTTTTGAAAATGTTCCTCAGGCTGTTTGCTTGTCCTCACCAGAGCCAGAATGCATGGTTAGATTAGATTTCTTGACACTTCCTTCTGTTTGGTCCCAGCTTCCTTTCCCTCTCTAATAGTCACATGGTAGAGAATCTTAAATGCCAGATTGAGAAATAGGTTTTTAGTTAATTTGTGTCATGTCAGCAGGGGAGGCTGTGCCCCTTAAAGATTATTAAGAAGATAATATGGAATGAATTGAAAAGGGAGGACATATTAAGATGGGGACCAGATAGTCTAAAACAATTCACAGCAAACTGTGAATTGTAAGTCAAATTTGGCCCACATTTTTTTGTAAATAAAGTTTAATTGGGACATAGTCACATTCGTTCATTAATGTATTTTCTATGGCAACTTTTGTGATACCAAGAAGAGTTGACTAGTTGTGACAGAGATCGTACAGTATGCAAAGCCCCTCAAAAATTATTATCTGGCTCTGCACAGAAAAAGTTTGCAGAACCCAGTCAGTCTGCCTGATGATTATCGAGGAAGAGGTTAGCAAGAAGATTGAAAAAAGTATTAATGAGGGGCACTGAAGAATTTTATTGTAATTTTTTGACAAATGCCTAAGAGGTTTTATGTCCAAATACACTTCAGATATTACATTTGACTTTTGGAATAATTTTGTCAGTGTGAGCTACAGGCACTCCCAAACTAGTGGCAAGAACAAAGAACCTATTCTGATGTTCAAATCTGTTAGGAAACAATAAATTTTTGCCTTTGAAACATTGTACACCTTCCATATGATTTGGAAACTCTACGATTTGATTTTGGAAATAAACAAAGTACCCAGTCAACTGGTAAATGGAATAATTCTAATAGTGAGGGTAGAAGACATGTTCCAAATGTTTACTGAAGTAGAGCTTCAAAAGAAGTGGGGAAAATTATAGAATTCTAAGAAATAAAAGAAACGGATATACTTGAACTTTCTAGACCAAAAAAAAAAGCTAACTGGAAAGATAGATAAGTAGGTAGGTAGATAGGTAGCTAGCTAGATGGATTAGATAGATACATAGATAAGATAGATGGATAGATAGATAGGTTACATACATAGAAATCTATAATTTAACTGAAATTCTTCTCTCCACAATCCAATCTATTTCTTTCTTTGCTGTGACCTTTCCCCTATTAATTCATTAATATGCACTGTCTCAGGGGAGAGATTATATCGAATGTAGAGGATAAATACCTTGGCTTCTGAGTTACAAAATAGGCTCTTGAGACTCATAGCAGAGACAGATTCTTGAAATCCAGGGCTTTTGACCTGTAAGGGTTGGAATGCTCTATTTTTAAAAGGCTAATCCCAAAAGACATCTAGTTTCTGCTATAATTAATAGTTTGGAAATATGATAGGAGTCTATCCCTGGAGATTAGGTAGGGATTGTCCAAGTTAGGGGAGGAAAACTTGAGAGAATATGACTTTGTTTTAGAAAATTACTGTCTCCTAAGAGAGTAATGTCATATCAACACAATATCACAAGAGAGTAACACTATATCAATGCAATTTTCTAAAACAAAGAAAGTTCAAAGCTCAGTTCCGTAACCTGAAACTGAGATATAAGTGAATAGAGTTCTAGAACCTCCAACTACACTTGAGGGAGGAAAGTGCAGGACACCGAGGGGACCTGTGTCTTGTGTTTCAGATGGTGAGTGGAGATTTGGGAAGCCTTGTAGAGAAGTCCTGTATTCTGTTTCCTTTCCTTCCTTCCTTCCTTCCTTCCTTCCTTCCTTCCTTCCTTCCTTCCCTCCTTCCTTCCTTCCTTCTTTTTTCCCTCCCTCCCTCCCTCCCTCCCTCCCTTCCTTCCTTCCTTCCTTTCTTCCTTCCTTCCTTCCTTCCCATGGTTTCCCTCTGTCACCCAGGCTGGAGTACAGTGGCACGATCTCAGCTCACTGAAGCCTTACCTACTGGGCTCAAGCGATCCTCCCACCTCAGCCTCGCACATAGCTGGGACTACAGGCACGTGCCACCACACCTGGCTGTTTTTGTATTTTTTGTAGAGATGGGGTTTCATCATGTTGCTCAGGCTGGTCTCAAACTCCTGGGCTAGGAATCTGCCTGCCTTGGCCTCCCAAAGTGCTGGGATTACAGGCATGAGTCATGGCACCCAGCCTGTGTTCTGTATAATTTCTACGATATTGAGTAGCAATGACCACACAAGTTACCTGGGCAGGTGGATTTCAAGGCAGCTCTACAATTTCAGGAGAGTAGCCATTTGTCTTTCCTGTTCTTCAATTACAGGGTATGGATGTAGCTAAAAGAGATCTAGAGAATCAAAAATCTTGTTGTTGGAAAGAGGTGGGTGTAGAAGCCACGATCTAAGGGAGTCCAGATGGCATATGGAATGTCTCATTAAAGATTAACAAGAATAAATGCAAACAAAGTGCAGTGTGAACAGATGATCTGGGAAAGGACCCATATCCTCCCCAATGTGGTGCCACTTGAGCTGAACCAAAACCTGGGTACAATTCTAGAGGGGGAGAACCTAATTGACTGCAAAATTTTAATTTATCTAGAAAATACTGCAGGGACTCCATAAATTGTGATTAGAATGAGTTTACATTGAATTGAATAAGATTAAGTTCTTGTGTACAGATGAAATGATTATTTTGACATAAGAAATAATATTTTAAAAATATATAGCATATATTTTGTACTGTGAATATTTGTACTCACCATTTATAGATCAAGAAAATTTTCAGTTTTTTCCTTTTGGTTGTAAGATCATGCTATTTACTTTTTTGTATATATTGTGTTATACATAACACATTTTAACAATGGATATGTCTTATTTTAATAAATATGATCCCTGATAGGTTCCAGAAGTATAGAATTGGCTTTAAAGCCAAAAAAAAAGTGTGTGCTGATTGTACTAGGAGAATTTTAGTCATGTCTTTATACTCAGAACATGACTCTCAATTGTGACTGTATTCTGGAAAAGGGACAGTGTCTCTCTTTCTTTCACTGCACACACACGAAGATGTCTCTTTCAGTCAAGCAGGATAGTGGGAAAGGGGGAGAAAAGGTGGTATAACAAAGGGGTGTTTGGTATTACTGTTGTTAGGTCATCCAAGCTGATTAATGAGAGAGAAAGAGAGAGAGCGAGAGAGTGTGTGTGTGTGTGTGAGAGAGAGAGAGAGAGAGAATGGTGGCTGGGAACACAATGGTTTCGATAGGTAAACACACAAGTTTCTCCCCTGCCCTGAGCCCCATTGCTGTCATAGAGGACATTCTCATACACGAAGTAAATTGCCCTGATGAATCATCCTACTGCTTGGCTTCTTAGTGTCAGAAACAACTATGAACAAAATGAAATCTCATTTTAACATTTTGCAGAAGATTTATACCTTTAATACTCTTATTAAAGAATGAACAAAACCTTGAAACTGACCTAGAATTTCATTTTATGGCCCAATGGAGAACTGTTTTCCCAATAAGCATAAAATGCCTTTATCAATATTAATTTTCTAGGTTATTGATGATGATGTGAAAAATTTCTTATTACAATGTGTAAAAATATTGTGAGGACATAGGACATTTTTTGACATAGGTGCTGAAGTGAAATTGCTTTTATAGAATACTTGGCAGCACATTTAGAGTGCTGTTTACTAAAATTTAATCTGATTATTTGTAAGTTGACTTAATAATCCATTTATTATGGTAATATAGTGACAAATAATGATATGTAACATGTACTTTATACTAATTTATTAAAAATAAAAATTATGGGTGTGTGAAGTGGGAACTAGATAATTCATAGGCATATATTTGCAAATATCCTGAGAGGCAGAGAGGTTTATTCCTGTTGAATAGAAGACCCAAGAAATACATAAATCAGTTATCATAAAACTAAATGAAAAGAAGCTGGAATTGAGATGTTTGCCTTTCTTTTACTCAGGTACATATTTCAGGTATAATTATTACTCAAAGGGGCTACATTACATGGTTGATTTAGATTAGCTAAGCATAAAGAATGTTGTACTTCAAAGTAAATAGGAATAGGCAATGACAATTTATGTCTTTACTGCCAAAGAAACAAGGAGTTTAGGAAGAAGATTAAATGTAACGATAGTTTAAAATGTTTCAGTATTACTTATTGCTTGTCAAAATAAAATTGTCAAAATTGAAAACTAAGGCTATATATAAGGGAACTTGCATAAACTTTAGAAATAATATACATAAAACTGGAGTTGGTAATTTATTTCTACCTTAACAAATTCATTGTTTCTATTTTATTAATCTAACTTAGTTTGTGGGGTTGTTTTGCTCTTTTCTTTCCTCTTTTCTTCCTAGACTTCCCATCATATTGGCCACAGGTTGACACTTACTGACAGGTGTATGTATGCAAATATAAACACTAGTGACACTTAATTACATAAACTCTTGGGAAATACACCATTTGGCTACGCATATTAGCAGTTGTAAATATTTATTGAACAGTTCTGTAATTAACATTTTGCTGTGTTATAAGAGTGTTTTTTTTAACGTACTTTCAATAACTGATCACTTGATTCTCAAAACAGCTGTCAGTTAGGGAGTGGGGTATTATCCACATTTGACAGATGAGGAAACTGGAGGCCAGAGTCAAAGTACCTAGTTGGCATCAGAGTGAGGCCAAGGGATTATGCTTTCTTTCAGGGAAAAAAGAAATGGAAAAAAGAGAGACTGGTGCTTATTTAAAGCTGAAGAATGAACTATCAAATCATGCCCAAGCAAGGTCTAGAAGTGGAAGAAACAATTATTCTGGACATCTTTCAGTCAAGTGTATCATTATCATAGATTCCCAGGCATTCTTATCAAAATTGTGGCTGTGTTAAGAAGTTTTGCAAGGTTAGCTTCTGAGAAGGTGAAAAAATTTAGGCTGAAAAATCTGCTATATTTGCCATCTTTAACCAGGTAGACAGATTTTACTCCTGCTGAAAAAAAAAAAAAAACCTTTGCATTGAAAAAAGAATTATCTTTGAATGTTTTCTTTAAGACACAATTCAAGCACTATTTTAAGGGCATCTACCTTCTCTTTCATCAAGTATTGAGCACCTACAAGATACTAGAAATTCTGTTAGATCTGGGGATAGAATACAGCCTAATAGAAAACAATCTAAACGCTATTATTCTTAAAAATGGGGGATCAGCATTATACAAATAAATGATCACATTAATATATAATTAGAAAGTATACATGTAATTGAAGAAATTAAAGAGCGTGATGATTAAGGCAACTGATTTAGATTCAGGATCAGTGAATAAGTGACATTAAATTTCAGACCTGAAAGAAAATTAGGAATTAGGCCAGGTGGGGAAAGAATTCCCCTGACAGAGCGACAGACAAAGCTGAAGATAGAGGCTGCACCAAGTTGTTGAGTCTTACAGGCCAGGCTGACAAATCTGATTCTTTTTCCTGGGGAAAATACTGAAGAATTTTAAGTGAGCGATTATAAGGTTAAATTAGCATTTTCAGTTAATTTACTGCTAGATGGAAAATGGATTGAAGGAGAATAAAGGAAGATTCAGAGAGTCTATATCAAAGATTAGGGTGACTTTTACTAGAGCTGTGGCTGGGGAGATAGAGACACGAACCTATTCAAGTCATAGCTATTTCACCAGAAAAAATGAGCACTGCCTGGACAAATACTAATTATCATTTTGGCCAACCTTATATTTTTTGTTAATAAGAAACAGTATTTTAGAATAAACCCACAATCCAAAATATTAGAGAAATACTATTGTTTCTGTAACTTTGCAGATCTGATACCAAATCTATGGAAAGAAGTTGAAATGCTGAAACAATGAGCTTTTCAAAAATCTAGGCATTTGGCACAGTGTTCAAAAGAAGGGAGTCCTAGACTTGCTCAGTTTTGAAGCTGCACATCACGTACCTAAAAAACAATGTGTAAGTCCCATCCTGCCAGCAGTCAGAAAGTCCAGCTTTTTTTTTTTTAACAATTTTATTCCCCAGTAGTTTTCTGAGTAACCCCAGAGAAAGCTGATGTGCTTCCCAAATCCGTCCTTGTTGCCACCTGCCACTTTAGTCAACCAAGGGTCTCTAGACCACAGCATGGCTTTTGTGCGTGTCACCCTGTGCTGTCTTGAGACTGGAATCTCTGAACAGTCTGGAACTTCTTTCTCATTTCCCCAATGCAGATTACATTGTCTGGCCTCAGATTCCCCATGGTGTTAAGTGAATCTATAATTCTTAAGAAGATTTTTTCTGAAGGCTTGGGGATAACAGAAGAGATTTCAAACTCAGAGAGAATAAAACTGGAAACTATAGTCATTCTCAGTTCATAATGCAAGCCCCAACAACAAATATCACCTTTTGTCCCCAGCCTGTGGTCTGCAGCCTGGGTACCTGAAGATACAGACTTCTCGTTCCCAAAGTTACTCTCCTCTAATTGTTTCTCCCCTATCAGGAGCCCACCCCAGCCACCAAAGAAAAAAAATGCAAGCCTCTTTGTGAAAAAGATCCACAGTGTACAATTTGATCCCTAGTGAAGACCATCTTACTGTTATTTTGCAGAGGGCTTTAGCCTCTTGATCCTGGGTCTCTTCATCATAGAGTGGGATTTGTGCTTTACATTTGTCAAGGCAGAAAGGACTTAAAGTGATTACCCCTGCACTAAACAGTAATTGCCCTCCCATGTGGTTTCAACCTTTAGAGAAACAGGTTCCTGATCAAAGTGTCAAAAATTCTTGGGTTTGTATTAGTTTCCTAGGACTGCCATAACAAAGTACCACAAAATGGGTATCTTCAACAACGGAAATGTATTGTCTCACAGTTCTGGAGATGATACAATTCTAGAAGTCTGAGATCAAGGTGTCAGCAGCGTTGGTTCTTTCTGAAGGCTGTGAGGTTAATTTGACTGCTAGAAGGAAAATGGCTCCATGCCTCTTCCCTGGGTTTTGTTGGCTTGTGACAATCTTCGGCATTCCTTGACTTCTAAAGGCATCATCTTAATCTCTGCCTTCATCTTCACATGGTGTTTTCCCTGTAGGGCTTCACATTGTCTTCACTCTGTGCATGTCTCTGTGTCCAAATTTTCCCTTTTATAAGGACATCAATCAAAATGGATTATGGGCCTACCCTACCCCAGAATGACCTCATCTTAACTAATTACATCTGGAACTATCCTGTTTCCAAATAAGGTCGCATTCTTAGGTACTGGGGATTAGGACTTCAACACATGAATTTTGCAGGGACACGCTTAACCTGTAACAAGGTCTTATCTCATTGGAGCACCTAGTTGATGAGATAGTGTAAATCATGTCATCTTACATCATGACTTGACTAACAAATCACTAGGAACAAAACCTTGAGTGTACTTGGCCTGGGAGGGAAGGAGACCATAGGGAAAACTGCCTCCTGTCCCCTCTGTAAAGATTTCAATAAAGAAGTAGTTGTCCGTAAGAAGGAGGGAGAAGTGGGGGCCATAGGCAATTTAATTATCCCAAGTTTCATTTTATTTTATTTTTTAAGACAGGGTCTGGCTCTGTTGCTCAGGCTGGAGTGCAGTGGCACCCATCATTGCTCACTGCCCCCTCAAACTCCTGGGCTCAAGCAATCCTCTCACCTCAGCCTCCCGAGTAGCTGGGTCTATAGGTGTGTGCCATAATGCCTAACTAATAATTTTTCCTTCTAATTACCTGGTTGTTTTATTTTGGTTTATGAAAATACTACACAATTGTTGTAGAGCATGAACAAAATATAAGTAATTGCAGAGGAGGAAAAAAGGCATAATCCTAATACCTAAAATGGCCAGTATTTAAAAAGGAATCATGTAGTTTATTAAAAATTGAAATAATCTTGGATAAACTTTTGTATCCTGCCTTATCCACTTACTACTATTATAAACATTTTAAAATATAATAATATGCTTCAATACTGTGTTTTTTGCTTCTTTTCCTAATGACTCTATGGTATTTTATTACCAAATAGAGTGTAATCTATTTAATCATTCTTCTCTCAAGATTTTTTTCTTGAAATTATTATTTCTATGTTTATTTTATTATTATTTCTATATTTATATTAAAAATAAGAGCAATGAAGATTTTTGTACATAAATCTTGTATACATATCTAATTATTTTGATATGTACATTCCTAGAAGTGAAGTCGCAAGTTTTATATCTAAAGCTTTTAAATTGTACTGCAATTATAACTTCCCAAAAGAGTGATTTATGTGTTGTGCTCTGTCAAATAATACATATTTTCCCAATCCCTTGTCAACATTAGATAGATAGAACATAAATTCCAAATTAAGGAGTAAAACATTTTGCTGTTGTTCTAATTACTTGTTTTCCTTTTTATAATAATGTTGAACTTTTTTTTGAAAATTCACATTTCTGTTTTTGCGAATCGCCTTTCATGTTCTTTGTTTGTTTTTCATTCAGTATTTTTATTATTATGTTTTTCTTACTGACTTTTGAAAGCTCTTTATCACCCATATATAACCCAATGTATGTTTTTTTCCAGGATGTCATTTACTTTTTAATTCCATTTATGATTTGTTTTAAAGTATAGAAACTTGATACCTCCCTGCAAGCTGAGGGAGCAGGCTCCGGCCTTGGCCAGCCCAGAAAGGGGATCCCACAATGCAGCGGTGGGCTGAAGTGTTCCTCAAGTGCCGCCAAAGTGGGAGCCCAGGCAGAGGAGGCGCCGAGAGCGAGTGAGGGCTGTGAGGACTGCCAGCACGCTGTCACCTCTCAACACTGCGGTGCTGATAATGACACTTCCTGATAATTAGGAATGTGGAGCCAAGATGGCCGAATAGGAACAGCTCCGGTCTACAGCTCCCAGCGTGAGCGACGCAGAAGATGGGTGATTTCTGCATTTCCATCTGAGGTACCGGGTTCATCTCACTAGGGAGTGCCAGACAGTGGGCGCAGGCCCGTGTGTGTGCGCACCGTGCGCGAGCCGAAGCAGGGCGAGGCATTGCCTCACCTGGGAAGCGCAAGGGGTCAGGGAGTTCCCTTTCTGAGTCAAAGAAAGGGGTGACGGACGCACCTGGAAAATCGGGTCACTCCCACCCGAATATTGCGCTTTTCAGACCAACTTAAGAAATGGCGCACCACGAGACTATATCCCACACCTGGCTCAAAGGGTCCTACGCCCACGGAATCTCGCTGATTGCTAGCACAGCAGTCTGAGATCAAACTGCAAGGCGGCAACGAGGCTGGGGGAGGGGCGCCCGCCATTGCCCAGGCTTGCTTAGGTAAACAAAGCAGCCGGGAAGCTCGAACTGGGTGGAGCCCACCACAGCTCAAGGAGGCCTGCCTGCCTCTGTAGGCTCCACCTCTGGGGGCAGGGCACAGACAAACAAAAAGACAGCAGTAACCTCTGCAGACTTAAGTGTCCCTGTCTGACAACTTTGAAGAGAGCAGTGGTTCTCCCAGCACGCAGCTGGAGATCTGAGAACGGGCAGACTGCCTCCTCAAGTGGGTCCCTGACACCTGACCCCTGACCCCCGAGCAGCCTAACTGGGAGGCACCCCCCAGCAGGGGCACACTGACACCTCACACGGCAGGGTATTCCAACAGACCTGCAGCTGAGGGTCCTGTCTGTTAGAAGGAAAACTAACAACCAGAAAGGACATCTACACCAAAAACCCATCTGTACATCACCATCATCAAAGACCAAAAGTAGATAAAACCACAAAGATGGGGAAAAAACAGAACAGAAAAACTGGAAACTCTAAAACACAGAGCGCCTCTCCTCCTCCAAAGGAACGCAGTTCCTCACCAGCAACAGAACAAAGCTGGATGGAGAATGATTTTGACGAGCTGAGAGAAGAAGGCTTCAGACGATCAAATTACTCTGAGCTACGGGAGGACATTCAAACCAAAGGCAAAGAAGTTGAAAACTTTGAAAAAAATTTAGAAGAATGTATAACTAGAATAACCAATACAGAGAAGTGCTTAAAGGAGCTGATGGAGCTGAAAACCAAGGCTCGAGAACTACATGAAGAATGCAGAAGCCTCAGGAGCCGATGCGATCAACTGGAAGAAAGGGTATCAGCAATGGAAGATGAAATGAATGAAATGAAGTGAGAAGGGAAGTTTAGAGAAAAAAGAATAAAAAGAAATGAGCAAAGCCTCCAAGAAATATGGGACTATGTGAAAAGACCAAATCTACGTCTGATTGGTGTACCTGAAAGTGACGGGGAGAATGGAACCAAGTTGGAAAACACTCTGCAGGATATTATCCAGGAGAACTTCCCCAATCTAGCAAGGCAGGCCAACGTTCAGATTCAGGAAATACAGAAAACGCCACAAAGATACTCCTCGAGAAGAGCAACTCCAAGACACATAATTGTCAGATTCACCAAAGTTGAAATGAGGAAAAAATGTTAAGGGCAGCCAGAGAGAAAGGTCGGGTTACCCTCAAAGGAAAGCCCATCAGACTAACAGCGGATCTCCTGGCAGAAACCCTACAAGCCAGAAGAGAGTGGGGGCCAATATTCAACATTCTTAAAGAAAAGAATTTTCAACCCAGAATTTCATATCCAGCCAAACTAAGCTTCATAAGTGAAGGAGAAATAAAATACTTTATAGACAAGCAAATGCTGAGAGATTTTGTCACCACCAGGCCTGCCCTAAAAGAGCTCCTGAAGGAAGCGCTAAACATGGAAAGGAACAACCGGTACCAGCCGCTGCAAAATCATGCCAAAATGTAAAGACCATCGAGACTAGGAAGAAACTGCATCAACTAATGAGCAAAATCACCAGCTAACATCATAATGACAGGATCAAATTCACACATAACAATATTAACTTTAAATATAAATGGACTAAATTCTGCAATTAAAAGACACAGACTGGCAAATTGGATAGAGTCAAGACCCATCAGTGTGCTGTATTCAGGAAACCCATCTCACGTGCAGAGACACACATAGGCTCAAAATAAAAGGATGGAGGAAGATCTACCAAGCAAATGGAAAGCAAAAAAAAAAGGCAGGGGTTGCAATCCTAGTCTCTGATAAAACAGACTTTAAACCAACAAAGATCAAAAGAGACAAAGAAGGCCATTACATAATGGTAAAGGGATCAATTCAACAAGAAGAGCTAACTATCCTAAATATTTATGCACCCAATACAGGAGCACCCAGATTCATAAAGCAAGTCCTGAGTGACCTACAAAGAGACTTAGACTCCCACACATTAATAATGGGAGACTTTAACACCCCACTGTCAACATTAGACAGATCAACGAGACAGAAAGTCAACAAGGATACCCAGGAATTGAACTCAGCTCTGCACCAAGCAGACCTAATAGACATCTACAGAACTCTCCACCCCAAATCAACAGAATATACATTTTTTTCAGCACCACACCACACCTATTCCAAAATTGACCACATACTGGGAAGTAAAGCTCTCCTCAGCAAATGTAAAAGAACAGAAATTATAACAAACTATCTCTCAGACCACAGTGCAATCAAACTAGAACTCAGGATTAAGAATCTCACTCAAAGCCGCTCAACTACATGGAAACTGAACAACCTGCTCCTGAATGACTACTGGGTACATAACGAAATGAAGGCAGAAATAAAGATGTTCTTTGAAACCAACGAGAACAAAGATACAACATACCAGAATCTCTGGGACGCATTCAAAGCAGTGTGTAGAGGGAAATTTATAGCACTAAATGCCTACAAGAGAAAGCAGGAAAGATCCAAAATTGACACCCTAACATCACAATTAAAAGAACTAGAAAAGCAAGAGCAAACACATTCAAAAGCTAGCAGAAGGCAAGAAATAACTAAAATCAGAGCAGAACTGAAGGAAATAGAGACACAAAAAACCCTTCAAAAAATCAATGAATCCAGGAGCTGGTTTTTTGAAAGGATCAACAAAATTGATAGACTGCTAGCAAGACTAATAAAGAAAAAAAGAGAGAAGAATCAAATAGACACAATAGAAAATGATAAAGGGGATATCACCACCGATCCCACAGAAATGCAAACTACCATCAGAGAATACTACAAACACCTCTACGCAAATAAACTAGAAAATCTAGAAGAAATGGATAAATTCCTGGACACATACACTCTCCCAAGACTAAACCAGGAAGAAGTTGAATCTCTGAATAGACCAATAACAGGCTCTGAAATTGTGGCAATAATCAATAGTTTACCAACCAAAAAGAGTCCAGGACCAGATGGATTCACAGCCAAATTCTACCAGAGGTACAAGGAGGAACTGGTACCATTCCTTCTGAAACTATTCCAATCAATAGAAAAAGAGGGAATCCTCCCTAACTCATTTTATGAGGCCAGCATCATTCTGATACCAAAGCCAGGCAGAGACACAGCCAAAAAAGAGAATTTTAGACCAATATCCTTGATGAACATTGATGCAAAAATCCTCAATAAAATACTGGCAAACCGAATCCAGCAGCACATCAAAAAGCTTATCCACCATGATCAAGTGGGCTTCATCCCTGGGATGCAAGGCTGGTTCAATATAGGCAAATCAATAAATGTAATCCAGCATATAAACAGAGCCAAAGACAAAAACCACATGATTATCTCAATAGATGCAGAAAAAGCCTTTGACAAAATTCAACAACCTTCATGCTAAAAACTCTCAATAAATTAGGTATTGATGGGACGTATTTCAAAATAATAAGAGGTATCTATGACAAACCCACAGCCAATATCATACTGAATGGGCAAAAACTGGAAGCACTCCCTTTGAAAACTGGCACAAGACAGGGATGCCCTCTCTCACCGCTCCTATTCAACATAGTGTTGGAAGTTCTGGCCAGGGCAATCAGGCAGGAGAAGGAAATAAAGGGTATTCAATTAGGAAAAGAGGAAGTCAAATTGTCCCTGTTTGCAGACGACATGATTGTTTATCTAGAAAACCCCATCGTCTCAGCCCAAAATCTCCTTAAGCTGATAAGCAACTTCAGCAAAGTCTCAGGATACAAAATCAATGTACAAAAATCACAAGCATTCTTATACACCAACAACAGACAAACAGAGAGCCAAATCATGAGTGAACTCCCATTCACAATTGCTTCAAAGAGAATAAAATACCTAGGAATCCAACTTACAAGGGATGTGAAGGACCTCTTCAAGGAGAACTACAAACCACTGCTCAAGGAAATAAAAGAGGACACAAACAAATGGAAGAACATTCCATGCTCATGGGTAGGAAGAATCAATATCGTGAAAATGGCCATACTGCCCAAGGTAATTTACAGATTCAATGCCATCCCCATCAAGCTACCAAGGACTTTCTTCACAGAATTGGAAAAAACTACTTTAAAGTTCATATGGAACCAAAAAAGAGCCCGCATCGCCAAGTCAATCCTAAGCCAAAAGAACAAAGCTGGAGGCATCACACTACCTGACTTCAAACTATACTACAAGGCTACAGTAACCAAAACAGCATGGTACTGGTACCAAAACAGAGATATAGATCAATGGAACAGAACAGAGCCCTCAGAAATAATGCCGCATATCTACAACTATCTGATCTTTGACAAACCTGAGAAAAACAAGCAATGGGGAAAGGATTCCCTATTTAATAAATGGTGCTGGGAAAACTGGCTAGCCATATGTAGAAAGCTGAAACTGGATCCCTTCCTTACACCTTATACAAAAATCAATTCAAGATGGATTAAAGATTTAAACGTTAGACCTAAAACCATAAAAACCCTAGAAGAAAACCTAGGCATTACCATTGAGGACATAGGCGTGGGCAAGGACTTCATGTCCAAAACACCAAAAGCAATGGCAACGAAAGACAAAATTGACAAATGGGATCTAATTAAACTAAAGAGCTTCTGCACAGCAAAAGAAACTACCATCAGAGTGAACAGGCAACCTACAACATGGGAGAAAATTTTCGCAACCTACTCATCTGACAAAGGGCTAATATCCAGAATCTACAATGAACTCAAACAAATTTACAAGAAAAAAACAAACAACCCCATCAAAAAGTGGGCGAAGGACATGAACAGACACTTCTCAAAAGAAGACATTTATGCAGCCAAAAAACACATGAAGAAATGCTCATCATCACTGGCCATCAGAGAAATGCAAATCAAAACCACTATGAGATATCATCTCACACCAGTTAGAATGGCAATCATTAAAAAGTCAGGAAACAACAGGTGCTAGAGAGGATGTGGAGAAATAGGAACACTTTTACACTGTTGGTGGGACTGTAAACTAGTTCAACCATTGTGGAAGTCAGTGTGGCGATTCCTCAGGGATCTAGAACTAGAAATACCATTTTACCCAGCCATCCCATTACTGGGTATATACCCAAATGACTATAAATCATGCTGCTATAAAGACACATGCACACGTATGTTTATTGCGGCACTATTCACAATAGCAAAGACTTGGAACCAACCCAAATGTCCAACAATGATAGACTGGATTAAGAAAATATGGCACATATACACCATGGAATACTCTGCAGCCATAAAAAATGATGAGTTCATGTCCTTTGTAGGGACATGGATGAAATTGGAAACCATCATTCTCAGTAAACTATCGCAAGAACAAAAAACCAAACACCGCATATTCTCACTCATAGGTGGGAATTGAACAATGAGATCACATGGACACAGGAAGGGGAATATCACACTCTGGGGACTGTGGTGGGGTCGGGGGAGGGGGGAGGGATAGCATTGGGAGATATACCTAATGCTAGATGACATGTTAGTGGGTGCAGCGCACCAGCATGGCACATGTATACATAACTAACCTGCACAATGTGCACATGTACCCTAAAACTTAGAGTATAATAAAAAAAAAAAAATTAAAAAAAAAAAAAGAAACTTAATCTTAATGCTCTTGGCTTTGTCAGCTCTTTCTTTTATAGTTTCTATCTTTGATTTTATGCCTTTAAATTGTTATCTCAACCTAAAAGCTGATAAAAATTTATTTATATATTTTTCTTATTTTGTATGTGTGTGTGTGTGTTTTAATTCTTACACATTTAACATTTTAGGCTGTCTAGAATTTATTTTTGTGTGTGGAATAAAAATGTGATCACATGTATTTCTTTTACATTAAGATTTCAGACAGAATATATCTAAAGTGCACATTGTATAACCCTTCTCTCAGTGATCTGAAATGCCATTTTTATCATACACCAAATTCTCAGTCTACTACAGTTGGATTTTGGGCTCTGCATTCTCTTTCATGAAGTGATCTTCAAGGACTCTCATCTTTGTGGTCTTCATTTTTACATCTTAATGTAGCTGTAGTATCCTTTTTAAATTTTCTTGAAAGCAAGATCTTTGGAAAAAAATCATTTCCTGTTTCCTACAACAAACTTGATTAAAAAGATTTACTTTTTACACTGAGTTCTCCAGTATTTTCCTTCCTTGTCTTGGAGAGCTGGTGTTTGCTTATCCCTAGGGAAGCCCTGAGGCTCGGCTGCCTTTGAGCTTGTGGGAGTAGCTACAAAGGTTGAAACCGTGTGTGACTTCCAGACCACACATGGCGTGGTGGTCATTCTGGTCAGCCTGGGTGCAAGCAGTACGAGTATGCATTGACTGTAGAAAATTTACAAACAGCAACAGAAAAACCTGGTAAACATTGATTTGCTTTTCATTATCATCATGTACCAAGAAGTTTAAACAATGTTAATGATACAATACTCTCTTAAAAAATCTTTTATTGGTCTAATTCTAAACAATTGCCATAGCTATTGAGTTCTAATAACAGATGCATGGCTTTAAATTTGTACATTTTAAAATTGCTTATCACTGGATAAACGTTATGTTCTCTATGAGAGGTAATTCAAAGAACTCCAAATTATACAGTCAGTTTCTAACCCACGAAGATTAACTATATTTGAGTTTGCTTGGGGAGTGGTTTTCCAACTCCAGAGGAACTAGGTATTCCTGCATTCAAATGGTATATATAACATGAACAAGAGAGCACAGTGCTTGTAAACTGGAAGAAACAGAACGTGATGAATTTTCTGGTGAAGCTCTTTTCGAGGAAATGTTCTGGCTGCAAGAGAGATTTGAGATTTACCAGAATTGATCCTGAGGAAATAAGACATGGGTGGTATTGCAAGCTCTGGAATGTATTGTAAAATGATATTTTTATAAATATCTGCAACACTTACCTGTATGTTTAAGAGTTGTGTGTCTGTTGCTTCATTTGAAATACCTTTTTGAACTTAAAATGAATATAAGGTTTAATATTGGCCAACTATGAACAATGACAGATTAACAAGGCTGCACTGCCTATGAATGTAAATATGTGAAGAAAAACAGTTTTGAAGATGTTATTTACTAATTTGAAGAAGTTAAGGCCTAAAAACAAAAACTTTGTTTTTCATTCGTTACTGTAATAGACTAATATGTAGGTCTATGTTTTATTTCCATTTATATGTAGTACTTCATTATTTATTTTTTCTTTCGGCATTGCAGTATTTATTTGTTGTTAATTAATACATTTTTTTTTTACTGGAATAATTATATGACAAAGTTTAATAAAAGGGAATTTTCAACATTTTCCGGACATTATTGTAATTTATTTTATTTCATGATTATTACTGCAAGTAATTTTGTTGCATAGAAAAGAGGGTGTTAAAAAGTGCTTTGCTCCAAGTTTTAAATACGCTAGGTGTGCTTCTATCTCTGGGTAGCACTCCTTTCTGGAGGGAACCTTCCATACTATCAGCATGTCTGGCCATCATCTCAAAAAGAAGCCTCTACTGCTTCTATATCCTCTGTACCTGCCCATGACCTGACCTCACCCTACTGATTTAGATGATGTGAAGACACATCTGGTCTGCTAACTTCCCAGGCATATTAGACAGCTAACAATGTTTCCTTTAAGTCAGTCCCATACGTATCAAAGTTTCTAGCACACAGATGGCATTCTTTCTAGTTTCCAATGATGTTTTATTTTTCTACCACTTTCCTCCCAATTTTACATTTTGTAGGTTTTTCCCATGGTGTTCCCTTTCCAATGTCTTTCTGGAAGTCACACATTGACCACTAACAACAGGAGAGAGGACAAAGAAAGGCAGCAAAAGACTATTTCCAATGCGAAATATGATCAGGTAACTCAACACTCTTTTCTTGGGCATGTGGGGTGGGCAAAGGTGGGATGCCCTTCTGAAGGGTGCAAAGAAGCTAGCTCATCCTTTGGAATGACACTTAAGCCTCCCAAGTTATTTCTATCTTGGATAATAAGAATTCTGGTTTTGAAATGAATGGTTGGAATGCATTTTCTTTGATAAAATATGCACAAAATTTTAGAGCTAGAGTTTAAAAAACCAAGCCCTTTATTTTATAGATGAAAAAAAAAAATAAATCCCAGAGGAGTAAAGTCACTTGAGTTAATCCCTCAAGGTAGTTAGTGGCAGAACTGGAACCAGAGCTCGGATCTACCTGTTCTTAATTAAGCATATTTTCTAATGGAGATATTGCTGTGCTTGCTTTGACGTCATGCTTAACCTTTCTCCCCAGTTCCTGCTTCCTGGTTGCTGTGAGGATTCAATCTAATAATATATATTAGAATGTTCCTGAACCTCTAAAAGGCTTAAAAAATCTTGACAGGCTTACTGTTATTCTAATAAATGTTCCAAATAATAGAAGTTTCAAAAGGATGTAAATTGTGGCTTTTTGTGGAGTTCTGTATGAAATGCAGCCTTTTCTCTTTTACAGTGATATTGACATAATTCTGCTCCGATAAACTAATGTTCCTATCTCAAATGACTTCTTTGGCAGGAACAAAAATTAATATGTTAATGCAAAAAAAGACACAGAAAGATTTCAAAACGGGGAACGGCAGAATGTCTTAAAAGTTACCAAGAGACAAATGCCGATGCTTAATTTTTATTTTAAAATAAAGTATTCAGTATCTATATAATAACGTTAAATGCGCAAGCATTGTTTGTAATCATAACCCCTCCCCTTCTTCTATCTAATAGAAAATTTGCTAGTCTTTTATGTTTCTGCTTTATTCATTTATTTCTTTCCTTAAGCAAGTATTTATTGGAATATTATTATGTGCCATTTCTGTGGTTACAACAATGAATACAAGAAGCTTCTATAGAGAGAAACAGAGGCAATTATAATAAGTCATGGAAAGAACTAGGGTAGCAGAAGTAGTGTTAGAGAAGCAAGGAAAATAGAGTTTAGTAAAACTTGAAACATTCAGATTTTCCATTAATAAGAAATTCTGTTAAGAGTATTATTGAGGGATTTGAGTGAAACCAAAAGTTTAAAAATCATTTGAATTTTTAAAACTCAATGGTTTTAGTCTGTTGTGACCAAATATATTGAAAAATGGCTACTATTCAAATTCATTTAAAATTTATCCTCTGTTTAATTTTTACTTTGTGAATGTGATTCTAGTTTATTTAATTTGGGAAATAATGAAAAAAGAGCTAGATTCTAAATTTCCTAGGTTTTGAGGACTGATGAAACATTTCCCATTACTGAAATGTTATCTATTAAAACTGAAAAACTTGGGTTGAAATCTTTGGATGCATCAGCAATATGATCAATAGTCATGATTAAAGAAAGATAAAGAGTGACATGATGAGGCAAAAAGTGTTGATAGATATGGTTTGGAAATAAGAAAACTATGAATGCATTGCAGATAGGCAGATTAAATAGAGAATGTAGAAAGCATTTTTATAACAAGTCATTTAATTAAAATCTATGATTCTGACTGAGACACTAAATGGCTCTTTCTTTAAGGGTACACAAAATATATTTCCAGCTTGTTAAGAAATAAGGAAAAGTAAATAATTAGTGCCATGATCCTTAATTGTAAGAATAAGAACCACAGGGGAATTACTGTGCAATACTCAATTATGAACTAATAAAAAAAGAGCATCATGAGAAAAGATCATGAGATCATTCTTTTCTGTGGGTAATTCCAGTAATAAATTCTAAGGACATACCATCTCTACATAGATGAATAAAGAATACCAAAAAGTAATCAAGAATCAAAGTTAATGGAAAAGAATTAGAAATGTGACATAATAAACGTGGGAGAGGGAGGGATGGTGAAGCTAAGGGAAGAAAAACAAAGCCCTCAAAAGCTGTCATATGTTCCTATTGTGTATGATCTATGTGAACAAGATCAGCAACCAAGGTAACATGAACACTGAGAGATACTGGAGAATTTTTTTATTATTCAAAAATATAATGAATACACGAATCATTTTTTGAAGATACAAGTGATAGAACTACAGACTACTGGAAATGAATAAGACTTTCTCTAAAAGAAAATGAAAATGTCGAAACAAATCGAATAATGTGAATATATCTTTAAGAATTTAGATGACAGATTTAAATCTTGAGTGTGTAATAAACCAAAGCAAAATGGCAGAAGATAAGTGAGATTGCACTTGCTGTAGGACCTCAAATTCTATTGTTTTGAGATCTGTACGCAACAAAAAATAAAAAAAAGAGAGAGAGAGAGAAAATTTAGGAGTATCTTAAGGAGGCCTATTTCTTACGATATTTGAACAGCTTTATCATACTTTGTGGCACTGTTGGTGATAGATGAGGGAGATGTTCGGAGAGAAAGTGAGAAAAGTGTTTTTCTATGATCTTGACAGTCTGATTACCTCTGAATTTCACACTCCCACTTTCAATGTACAAAACACCCTATTTTTCTCTTTTTGCTAAAGTATAGAGTCACATTGTTAGATACAAAACAAAGATCATCACTCCACGAAATTTTATAGAAACACTCAAAAGTATAGAAGATACATGAACAACAATAATTATAGGTGACAATATATGCCAGTCACTGTCTGTGGCCATGTATCTGTATTAAATCATGTAATCTTCACAACAGCCTGTGAAGAAGGCTGTTTTCATAGGAAGAAATGGAAACATCGAGAGGGGAAGAAAATTGTCCCATACCACACAGCTGAGAAAAGGTGGGACAGGCTTCAGTTCAAGTCACTTTAGTGCCTCTCTCATGTGGGTAAAAATGAAAGGAAGCATTGAAAAGACAATTTTTTATACATATTTAGCCATTGCTTCCCAATAGTACAGAACAATGCAGAATCCCTTTTAATTTTGTTGTTTGAAAACAACCTAATCCTGTTTGCTAATTCAGTGCCTAGATTTTTTTTCTTCTATCTCTCACACCAGTTCTTTTTCTTTTTTAAAACCTGAAAATTTCCAATTCACTTGATACATTTGTCAAAAAGAGTTTGTGAAAAATATCGAATTGGAGGGCAGCCTGTCTGTATCAGTGAGAATTAGAGTACTCATCTAGGAACTATTGAAGTAACTTGGACACTCAGGGTTTATTTCTTCATGTAAACAACAACAGCAAAGTTCAGAGGAGAGAGCCTGGAGAAAAGCATAAAATTATTAGAGACCCAGGGGCTTTCTCTCTCTGCTCATATTAGTTGTCTTCCATCTGCAAGATAATTGCACTATGTAAGGTTGTGGCAGGAGTTCCATCTGCATCACTGCGGTAAAAGAAAGGAAAGAAAGAGAGAGGAGTGGGGCATGAAGCACTTGCCTTTTAAAGGAATATCCCAGAGAATCCACAGAGCATTTCCTTTTCCCATTGATCAGAAATTAGTCAGATGGCCACATCTAACAGCAAAGAATAACTGGGAAATCTAGTCTTTTAACTGGACACAGTGCTATCCTGAATAAAACTGGAGTTTTGTTACTAAGGTGGATGGTGGAAATGGATGTTGTTGGAAAGAACGAATAGCTTTTGCCACTGTGTCATCAAGAAAATTATGGACATCCAGAGTGACATGAGAAAGAAGACTGGGGTGAAAGCCCAGTTTGGAAAGCCAGTATAAAATTACAAGAGTCAATGGGAGGCAACTGTGTGCTATAGAACTGGATTAGGTTTACTTGTGATTAACTATAATGGATTAACTTTTCAAATTGGTTGGTGTTAACTTCTACCTAAAGGGGCTTCTTATAGGCTGGATTTACATAGGAATCATTACCTTAAAATTCTTTTAGAAAGGAAAGAGAGCCCCAGCTTGATTATTCTAAGACTGAAATCCTTAAAATCAATCAGACATGGTCCCAGCCCTCCCCTTTCTGCTCCTCAGAATATAACACACTGGCTTAGGGGTAAGGGGAGAACCTCTCTTCCTTTCTTCTTTTTTTTTTTTTTTGTCTTAAGCCACCATCTCTGAGTACCAAGGTACAGTAGAGATACACACCAAAGAAATCTTTAGAGGATTGCGCTCCACTCTTTTTATCTCACTTCAAATTATAGAAATGGAACTGCCACCAGATAAGGACATTTTCATAAACACTTTACTTCTATGTTCCAATGGATGCTGATGAGAGAACATATGTACACACAGCCATATTCACAAACATTTATAACCTCCAGCAACTATAAAGTCTCATCTGTTGTATAAAGAAAGCTTCTATTTCCAGTGCAATTTGCCAGCGGACGCTGATCACTTGACAGTTATATTTAAAGGCAGCAGGCTCCTGACTCGAAATCCTATGCACTAAACACCTGTTCCCTGTCAGAAAATGCAGCTGACATTTTTCTAAAAGACCTAGTTATTTTGTTGGAATAGTTCTCTGCCCCATGGACCTCATAAAGACAAGTCAGTGGATTGTGTGAGATTTTAACAGGCTCTATGTTGAAAGCAGAGCCCTCCAAGGCTCTTGACATGTGAAGCAAACACAGGAAGACCAGTTTGCCAACAGACAAAATGCCATTAGCTGCCTCATTCTCAGCTATTCTGCCAAGAGAAACTAGCATCCTCTGATACTATTGTTGGCATAGTATTGTGACATTGCATCTGAGTTTCAGATTCTTTAAAAAAATCATTAAGCATCTGGTTATAAAGATTATTCATGTTTACTATAGTTAATTATAAATGTATAAAAATCACAAATAAAAGAATACATATTGTCAAGATTTGCAAGCTGAAAAGTTAACCTGCTGCAGTTTTATAGACACTGGTAGAAGACATGAGACTCCTAGAGCAGAGATAAAAGTTTATTACAGCAGTAGAGCATCAGCAGGTTTTGAACCATTTCCTGAGCCCCAGTTCCCAGGGGATGATAGAAAAGGGGCATGATGGCCCCTATACACACAGTGGGTTATGTTACAGGAAAGGAATACTGAGCTTAGGGAACCTGAATCTCTTTCTATGGGCAATAGCCTGGCTAAACTTGGTCTTGAAGGGAGACATTCTCTTTATTAAACTGGACAGTGAACAAACCTACCCATTGTTCTAGAGGGAAACACTATTTTCCAACCCTGTTCACAATGCAAATATTCCTGGGAAGATAATCTGTAAAATGAGCAGTCAGTATCTCTACTTGCAAAATAAGCAGAAATTTAAGAGATCCATGGAAAATTGTCTCCCAATATACATAAACCAAATCTCCAGGGTGTGGGGGTGGTGGTGATATTGGTATCTTGATGTATATGTTTGGATAAACATATATTTATTTTAAAAAATTAAACCTTTAATAATACTACCTTAAGTATATATAGTGCATTTCACTCCATAATTTTATAGAATATAGTGTTCCAAACTACAGATTTACTATTTTTAAAAAATTAACAATTTTTTTGTTGTTGGACATTGCAAATGTTTCTAAATTGCTACTATTATAATCAATACTCACTAAAAAATTTTTGTACATGAATTTTTGTGTATAGATGTGATGACTTAGGGTAAATTCTGAAAGTGGTGTTTCTGGGGAAAAAAGTTAATGGTTATTTTTGAAGCTTTTGATAAATCTTGCCAAATTATTCCAAGAAAAGATTGTACCAATTTGCACTCCCATCAACAATTTATAGAGGAATTTCCATGTTTATGACAATAATTTAATTTGAAAATAAGACTAATATTAAAATACTGAAGTAATATCTGTGATTTTAATCATCAAATAATAATGATGTTTATAAACAAACACAATTGAATACTGGTTTTCTTCTTTTCCTAAGTGCTATGTCATGATTCCCTTTCAATTAGTAGTTAGAGTTCAGAATAATCAGTGTTCTGTGTCTAGCAAGCACTCAACCAAGAGAGGGCTAGGATGCTCTTCCACACCATCTGTTTCTTTATTTTAGCAAATAAAAGTAAATGCTAAGCCACATCTTAGACACAAGCAAACCAAAAGGAACAGGTTTCTTACTTTATTGGAGTTTGCAATCTAGGATTTGCGATGCATGAAAGAAACTCCAAATAAACCTTGATGTCCTCTTATACACTGTAATCTGAAAATGTTCTTTGTGTGTGGAATTTACTTAGATAAAATACATTTACACACAGACAAGTGCCTGCAAAACAATAAAACAGTAAATAGATTGCTTCATTTTTTAAAAAGTTTTTAAAAAATTGTACTGTGTATAAGGTGTACAACATCATGTTATGAGATACATGTAGAGAGTAAAAAGGTTACAATGGTGACTCAAATTAACATGTCCATCATCTCACATGGTTATCCTTTTTTTGTTTTTGTGGTAAGAACAGCTAGAATCTACCCCTTGAGCAGAGATTCTATATACAGTACAATTTTATTATATCTATAGACCTCATGTTGTATATTAGATCTCTAGACCTGTTCATCCTACATATCTGCTACTTTATATCCTCCTACCTACATGTCTTCATTCACTCCCCTTACCCTGCTCCTTGTAATCCCTGTATTATTTTCTATCTCTATATATTTATTTTTTTTTTAGATTTCACGTATAAGTGAGATCATGCAATATTTTCATTTTTTTTGGCTTATTTCACTTGGCACAGTGTCCTCCAGGCTCATCCATATTGTGGTAAATGACAAGATCTCATTCTTCCTTTAGGGTGGAATCATATTCTATTATATATATGTACCACAGTTTTTTTATCCATTTGTCCAATGATGGACACAGGATTTTTCCTTATCTTGGCTATTGTTAGTAATGCTACAATGAACATGAGTGCAGGTATCTTTATGATGTATTGACTTCATTCCCTTTGGGTATAAATGCAGAAGATGGAATTACTGGGTCACATGTTAATTCTGTTTTTATTTTATTTTATTTTTTTAGAAATCACCATACTGTTTTCTATAATGGTGGCACCAATATATATTCCCACCAACAGTGCACAAGCATTCCCTTTCTCCACGTCCTTGTCAATATTTATCTTTTAACTTTTTGATAATAGTCATCCTAACAGTTGTGCAGTGGCATCATGAGTGGTTTTGATGTGTATTTCCCTGATGACTAATGATGTTGAGCACCATTTTATATATCTGTCAGCCATTTTTATGTCTTCTATGGAGGAATGTTTATTCAGGTCTTTTGCCTATATTTTATTTGAACTATTTGTCCACTATTTTTAATATTTTTCACTATTAAGTTGTATGAGTTTTTTAAATTGGATATTAATCCCTTACCTCCCTTGGTTTCCAAATATTTTTCCCAATTTATAGACTGATGTTTCCATTTGTTAATTATTTCCTTTATTGTGTAGAAGCTTTTGTTGTTTGACATGGGACCATTTGTTTACTTTTGTATTTGTGGCCTGAGTGTAATATCAAAAGAAAAATTATTGCCAAGGCCAATGTTCAGAAGCTATTTCTCTATGTTCTCTTCTAGGAGTTATATAGTTTCTGGTCTACCATGCAGGTCTTTAATCCATTTTGAATTGATTTTTGAGTATGGTGTAAGGGTCCAATCTCATTGTTTGTATGTAGAAATCTAGTTTTCCCAGAACCATTTGTTGAAGAAACTCTCCTTTCTATGTTGTGTCCTTTTGGTGACCTTGTTAAAAATCCATTGACTGTATATGCTTGGATTTATTTCTTGGCTTTCTATCTTCTATGCATCTGTTTTCATGCCAGCATCATACTGTTTTGCTTATTATAGCTTTATAATATAATTTTAAATGAAGTGTGATGCCTCCTACTTTGTTTTTCTTAGATTGCTTCATTTAAATCAGTGCTATGTAAAATTGTTCTGCTATGAAATAACACACATAATTTGTTTGTTCATCAGTTTATTCACTCATTCAACAAATATACATAAATTTTTCTCCAATCCATCCTTCCTTCTTTCCTTCCTTCCTTCCTTCCTTCCATCTTTCCTTCCTTTCCCAATTCTAGTTGTTCTCATCAAACCCTTGCTCCTCTAATTAGGATATTTTAGTGGGCTTAATATATAATAGTTATTTCCTATCCCTTCAGGTTTAGAACCAATGGAGAGAGAATCACAGAAGTTGGGCAAATGAGCATCAAATTACCCACTTTATAAAGTTCTCTGAAGAATATAACTTGCAATATGCTCATGCTTTACTCCAGAATTCAATTTACTTACCCAGTCATAGTCTGAACTAGAAAACCATCAGTTTTTCCAGCAGAAAACGTAAGGCACAGAGGAATAGAGTAAGTGTGCTTCTGGGGATCAAGCTCATGTCCAAACAGGAATGAGCTTGTAGAACAAGCTTATCCAACCCTCGGCTTGTGGGCCGCATGTGGCTCAGGTTTTGAATGCAGCCCAACTCAAATTTGTAAACTTTCTTAAAACATTATGGGATATTTTTCGATTTTTTTTTTTTTTTTTGCTCAAGAGCTATTACTAATGTTAGTGTATTTTATGTGTGGCCTAAGACGATTCTTCTTCCAGTGTGCCCCAAGGAAGCCAAAAGATTGGACACCCCTGGAAACTCATCAGTCAGAGGAGATGTGAGTGAGAGGCCTCAAGTGACCCTTTCTGGAAATTCTTCCATATGAAAACATGGGAGGAGGGAGGTGAGTGTTCTATCCTGATGCCTATGAGTTATGAAGAAAGAGAAGGATTTTAACAATCTCTTTAACAAATCTTCTCATTTAATGGAATAGGAAAAGAGGGGGAATAAATTGCTCAAACTCTCACAATGAGATAGGGGTAAAACCAGGACTAGATGCCAATTTTTATGGATGTCAGCCCAACGATATTCCATAAAGTATTTGGCAATCTGGCAAAACTCAATCTGCATTTTAAAAATATAGCCAAAATTTGGGATTAGCAAAAATGTGGTGTTTTTTTTTTTGGTCAGGACACTGTTTTTTAAAATTAACAATGATTATTTTTCATACTCATGGTTTACATTTAAAGTGTTTACATTTAAAGGGTGAATAATTTTTTTGTCCTGTTTTGCAGAGAAGAAATCTATTTTATAAGGAACTTCCATTTGTATTATTTCAGATTACAATGCATTAGGATTAATATAGTTGAAACTTGGCCTGAGAAGAAAGAGGGGAGGCTAAATGCCAAGAGCTAAATTCCACAGCTATGACCATTTTCGTGAGCTGATTCACTCCTGTTTGTACTTTGGAGGAAGAAGCTTGGAATACAGAGAAGCATGCAGGCAGCAACCCAGGTTAACTGCTTTGAAGAACTCACAGTATAGTGAAGAAATTGGCTAAAATACCCTATAATTTTTATGTAATGATTTTGCATTACACTAGGAAGAGAAAGGCAGTTTTGCAAAATTTCTTTGTTAGGAGAGGAGGAGGGTGTGGTGCAGTAAAAAGAAGGACAGAGGCAATGCTTATTGTTTATGGTTGCTTGTCATTTCATAGGTTTCCTATGTAGGAACCACATGTGCAAAAATGGCAAAAGAAAGAGAGGAGCAAGAGATCCGCTTATGATAATCCAACAAAACGATAACTGGAACAGAAAAGAAAACGACGGCCAATCAAACCCCTGAGTGACTCCACATTGTCTTTAATTCTCCTCTAATCAAAGAGCAGCACACAGTTGTGAGAGGTGGTCCGAGCCGGGGAGATTATGCAGAGAGTGACTCCATTCAGAGAAATTTTGGCATGATTCCTAACCTCTTAGCCTGAGGGAGAATTTCTTAAATTTTATTTGTGGTTCTCACCTGAGAGAATTGATGCCTTCAAGAGAGCACCAGACAGAGGCTAAACAGACATGCAATAAAATTATCCTCCTTGGATGGGTCAGGAGCTGGCTGATAACTTACTCTAAGCCTACATCAATCAGGGAGCAGCAGGGGCATCCACAGTCAAGGAGAGCTGAAGGTGGCAGGGCGTACAGCCGCAGATCATCTTAAATAAAGATATAGAAGGCAGACTCTCATAAAAGAAACCATAAATGAAACAATGAATAACGACTTCTGTTTATCATTCTCTATTGTTTGCAACTTTCACAATAAGCGTGTATTGTTTTCTTAAATAAATAGCAAACAATAAACTCATATTGATATGGCATCAATTTTCACTGAATACCCTAAGAGGAAGCCATGTTTTTCCTGCGTTTTGTAAAGCTTACAGGTGGATTTCTTTTTTCTTTTCTTAAAAAGAGTACATTCGGACTGATCAGTGAGTTCATGCATCTGGGTAAATGGATAAGCAAATATTAAATTTGACATCACTGTTTTCATTATTACTCATTTCAGAAATTCAGGTTTATAAAATGCATTCTAGCTGAGTTTTAAAAAGATCAGACTATCTTGTGGTCATTGAAATTTATGGAACTCTGTCTAATACCCTCAACTGGATTAGATTTTAGCTCTACAAACAGCCTTATTTCTTAAGAGCTAGGACCTGAAATTAAATTATAAATTGATACTATCAATAGCAGAAATGTTATCTTGAGCCTGGAAGGCCAGAAGGCTGATTGAATCTCATTCATCACAGATGCACTTTGCTAGTGATGGCTGTGTTTGGGCACAAGGGTGTGTTTATGTGTTATAACCAGTGGGTTGGTTAGCTGAGCTGGTTAGCACACAGTGCAAATGGGTGCAGCAGGAAATGCTCTATGGCTCCTTAAGCCAGTTTCCTTTGCTTTGCTTAGTGATGATTAATGGTGATCCAGATCCTACATGGTGGTTTCATTTCCCACTGATGAGCCCAATAATAGAACCAACTTTACGCATGAAAAACTTAAAGCTATTTTTTAATAGATTCAAGGAGGTACAAAATCTAATAAAAGTCAAATAGATCAATGCTTCAATGTGCTTATAGGCCTTTTTTAAGTTCCCACAGAGAACTTTCCATGTTCACTGTCTCATTTTTACAAAACTCTATGCCTTGTTCCATTTGAATCACAAATAGTGACATCCTTGAACTAGACCTAAAATGACTGTCAACTAAAACCCAACCATTTACAGAATAGTCCATGGCCCTAATGAGGGAGCCTACCGTGAGAGCTGGGCTCAAAAATTAAGTAGCAAATCTGATAAGATCTTCTCTTTTAGGGGATTTTAAGTATAAAATACACGGAGAGGGACACAATCACATGGGTGATGCACAAGAGAAGGTAGCAAGAAGAAGGAATAATCCAGTAGAAATTATGAGGTAGCAGATGTTACGAACAAGGAAGAATTGTGTGGCAGATTGCAGAGTAGAGAATATTTCATCAGGAGCAGCCAGAACAACAGCAGGAAGGTGCAACGGAGAGTAGCTGGATAACCATGCTGAGTAATGCATAAAGGAAGTCTTTACGGCCATGTTATAAAGTGAATGGCATTTCTCTTCTCCACTATGCCCAACTTTGTTAATGTGGAAGGATGCTGAAACTTATTCTATACTCTTGGAAGCCTGGCTATGCAGCTGTTTCCAATCTCTTTTACTTCTTTGTGCACCCCTTATAATAAAACTCTATCAGTTGAGGTTTTCTGAGGGCAAATTTGTGCTTGCTACCTGAAGGGTCTTAATATGCAAACATTACTGTATTTGCAGGAAAGAAAGTATTTTATTGCCCTAGAAGTTAGTTTTTTATTTTTATAGATTTAGGGTTACAAATGTTGTTGTGTTACATGGTGTATTGCATAGTGCTGAAATCTGAACTTTTAGTGTACCCACCACCTGAATAGTGTGCATTGTATCCATAAGAAGTCTTTCAACACTTACCCCTGTACCCCTGCAACTCTACTATATTTTGGAGTCTCCAATGTCTCTCTCTCTATCTCTCTCTTTTTTTGGAGACAGATTCTTGCTCTGTTGCCCACGCTGGAGTGCAGCAGTGTGATCTTGGCTCACTGCAACCTCTGCCTCCCAGGTTCAAATGATTCTCCTGCCTCAGTCTCCCAAGTAGCTGGGACTACAGGCATGCACCACCACGCCAGGCTAATTTTGTATTTTTAGTAGAGACAGGATTTTACCATGTTGGCCAGGTTGGTCTCAAATTCCTGACCTCAGGTGATGTGCCTGCCTTGGCCTCCCCAAGTGCTGGGATTACAGGTGTGAGCCACTGTGCCTGGCCCCTCCAATGTCTTTTATTCCACTCTGTATGTCTATGTGTACACATTGTTTAGCTCCCACTTATAAGTGGGAGCATGTGCCTTTTGACTTTCTCTTTCTGGGTCACTTCACTTAGGAAAATGGCTGGAATTAATTAACCTAAGTGGATAATTGGAATATTACATAACTGATAATATTTGATCGTGGCTCTATAGGTGGTATTTAGGAGAAATTTAATAAAGAAATAAGTACACATTCAAATAGTGCTGGGACAATCAATGTGTAGAAGTGCTTGAGATAAAGATACTACCTAGTTTACTGATTATGTCTCTATATTTTCTTATTGGAAAGATATTAGAAATCAAAGCAAGTTATTATGTCAGTCCGAGGTGTGGAGGTTGATAAAAGCCTTCCACGTGTTTGTCACTTGAAGGCTACATTTAGGTATAATGGAACTCAATTAAAACAAACCTGGCTTTATACTCAAAAATCAATTTTGCATATCATGTTTTATATATTTGATTCTGTATCTATAGGAAGGTTAGAATTTGACATTAATTCATAAACTAGAAGGGCACATAAAAGAATAATGTGGTGAGAAGCCCTTACCACTCATAACTATGAGATGAATGGAGGATAAAAAATAACATCCTAACTTAAAAAATTAAACAAGTTTCTTTTTACAGGATAAATGAAACATTAATAAATGCTATGATTGTGTTAATTTGAAAATAACATTTTTGTGACAGGGTTTTGTTCTGTTGCCCAGGCTAGAGTGCAGCAATCATAGCTCACTTGAACTCCTGGCCTCAAGCAATACTTTTGCCTCAGTCTCCCAAAATGCTGGAATCATAGGGGTGAACTACTGTGCCTAGCCTGAAAATAACATTTCTTTGGTTAATTGCTGTTTCAACTAAAAACTGAGACATAGGATGAATGGTTCTTTGTCTTAGCTGGGTTGGCTGTGGATGGAGTTTTGCAGAGTCAGTTAAAATATCCAGACAGGGACAGCAATGGCATTGGCAGAATCAGTTAAAACAGTAGCAGTGAAGGACAGAGAGGCACATGTGGTGTCCATTGCCATTTGCATTGGGAATAGACCCTGATGTAAGATTAGCAGCAGCATCAATAGCCTCAGAAAAATAGCTGTCAACTATAGAAGGAGCATCAGGATCTACTCCGAAGGCAGAGAGGGATTACTTCACCTGACAGTACATCTGCACTTAAAAGGTCAAAAACAACCTCTGTTGTTGAGAGTACTAGTGGTTCTAGGGGGAATGAAGTCTCAGTAACACACACTGTGGGGTGTGTGTGGATGGGTGGAGGGGGCCTTAGGGAGGACGAGGAGAGAGGAAGGGAGTAAGGAGGAACAATGCAAATATCTGTGCTGATAACCCAAGACCTTGAATTATCCCCGCTCAATTTAACTGGAGGATGGGAAGAGATTATAGAAGCAAACATAACATGGAAAGAAAACATAACTAGATTTTCTTTCTCTTCTCCCTTTTCCTTCCTTCCTTCCTTTACTCCATCTCTTTGTCTTTCTATTCTAAACATTTTTAAACTTTTTATTTTGAAGCAATTTTACACTTACAAAAATGTTATAAAAATAATACTTGTAATGTTCCTATACCTCTCCTTTACTGTTAACATCATATAATTAAAGTATAGTTATCCAAACCAGGAAGTTAATGTTGATGCAATATCACTAAGTAGTCTACAGGTTGTATTTGAATTACGCCAATTGCCCCACTAGTGTATTTTTCATGGTTCTAGGTTCAACCTAGGATCTCACATTGCATTTAGGTGGCATGTATCCTTAGCCCCAAATCTGGTGACTTTTGTGACTCTTCTTATTTGTGTCTCATGAACCTTTCAGTTCTGAAGACTACTGGTTAGTTATTTCATTTGATTTGATTAGAATTGAAGTTATGCATTTTTGACAACAATGTAACAGTAGTGATGTTGGACCCTTCCCAGTGTGTCATATTTAAAGGTACAAGGTTTTGGTGTGTCTTATTACTGGTGATGTTAACTTTAATCATTTGGTTTAGGTGGCATCTGCCAGGTTTCTCCACTGTGAAGTTACAATTTTCTCCTTTAAATTAATAAGCACCTTGTGGGAAGATAATTTGAGACTCTACAAATATCCTGTTCATCATGATACATTTACCATCTAATTTTAGCATCCAAGGATGATTCTTACCTATAACAATGATTACTGTGGTATTTGACAAATGATGATTTTTCTGTTTTCATTGTCCTGTTTTTATTAATTGAAATACTCCTGTAAAGAAGACTTTCTCTCCCATTTATTTATTTATATGGATTTGCTTTTATCTCCAACCAAACTCTCCCCTCAATTCAAATTAATACCTCCCCTAGGCCGTGTCACCTTTTCTTTCCTGGGGGCCTGTATTAGTCCTTTCTCACACTGCTATGAAGAAATACCAAAGACTGGGTAATTTATAAAGAAAAGAGATTTAGTTGACTCACAGTTCTGCATAGCTGGGAAGGCCTCAGGAGACTTACAATCATGGCGGAAGGCACCTCTTCACAGGGCGGCAGGAGAGAGAATGAGTGAGTGCCAGAAGGGGAAATGCCAGATGCTTATAAAACAATCAGATCTCATGAGAACTTACTCACTATCATGAGAACAGAATGGGGGAAACTGCCCCCATGATTAAATTACCTCCCACCAGGGCCCTCCCACAATACGTGGGGATTATGGGAATTACAATTCAAGAAGAGATTTGGGTGGGGACACAGCCAAATCATATCAGGGCCCCAGAGTTGATCATGAACATGAAGTTACTGGCCTTCCACGTGTTTGTTTTTCTCCCATCTTCTTTTGTCTTGGGTAGTGTCTTCACTGATTGACCCATTACTTTGGGTTTCCAGGCTAATTCACTTAACCTGATGTTTAATTTTTATCTTTCATTAACCCACTTATTCTGGTTTTCAGTACTTCATTCATGACTGTCCATAGCCCTTACATAAGCTGACTACCAGTAAATTCCTCCTACTTTTACGTTCTATGTAAGTCAACAAAGTCAAGAGAGTGGTGCTATTACTCTCAATGGAGAGCATTTTGTCTGCCAGCTTCTATTTCTTCCTCTTTTAGTAATGATTTCTATTAGGGGGTGACCTCTTGGTATTGTGTGTGGTCTTGGTTGGGTTATATGTAAATGTCACTTGCCTTTCCCAGGCAGGAATGAGCATCACCATTCAACTGAGGCTGCCCACACTCTGTACTGGTATTCTGAACTCTGAGTGGGTTGAGGCAAAGAGAGAGAAACTAAATAGAACAAAAGCAGTGGGGGCGTGGGAAGCATATTCATGCCCCTAATAGAGCCCTAAAGATGCTGTTGCCTAATTCATGCTAACAAGCTATCTGAAGTTTTTTTGGCTTGTTAATTTCAGAGCCTAATTCTCCATCCTTCCTTTTGAACTGTTGAGTATTCTGAAATTTTCCCAATAAATATATTTTGTATACTTCAGCCAGAGTTATTTTTCTGCAGCTTGGGGAAAAACAACAACAAAACACTGATATACTCTTGTAAGAGAAGTATAGGAGATATTACTGTTTTCTTGAAGCGAAAGAATTCAAGAAAGAATTGCCACACCTTCTGTTGATGAGAACTGGATTAGCAGCAAGTCAGAAGGAGGCTGACCTTCCTCACAGGCATTAGCTGATTGCTGGGGGCCATGGGCATTTACACTGTTATATATAGCTGACTTAGAAAGACAATCAGTATATATGCCTCAGTTACACAAAAATCCATGTGTCCCTCTCCTGGATTTGCTTCTATACTTTTGCGTTCTAGTTTCCCTCATTCTGCTGCCTCATGCCTGCTGAGTGTGGCTTGTCTTTGCCCCTCCTATCCTTCAGAGTCTGGGCAAAGGCAGGTTTCAGCTGGCTTTCTCTCCCCAGTTACTCACCTGGGAATGCCACAGCGCTTTCAACTTACCTCTACACCTCAAGTTGTAACCCTAAGCTCTCTACTGAGAGTGGAATAGAAAATACAAGCTGCTATCCTCGTATTCTCTCCTGTCTTTACCTGGGAGAATGAATGAGAAAATTCTTAACAAATTTTGCAGTGACAGAAGAAAACTGTGATCCCTTTGCTAAACTTGCCTCTGCCCCCTGAGAAGGAGCCCCTAGGTTGCAAATTAGGCCTCCCTTCTCTCTTTGTATACTATGTCCCTTACTCTCAGGGCAAATGTACAATTCCTTATAACAAACTACTTCTTCTTCACACTTGACAAGGGAGTGGTAGCATCAGCTTGTGATAAAGACAGTGTGTAAAACGTTTTAATATCTCAAGATTATGAGATTCGAGAGTAAAAGACAGACTTTACACAAGCCTATGTGTTTGGAACTATGCAAATCTCTGTAGTTTGCATAAACCACAAGCAAGGATGTTAAAATGCATGAAATAGTTTTATGACTCAATATTGAAAAAACATGTTATGCTCACATCATTTCCAAAATATTGTCTGAAGGCCAAGGGAGCAAATCATGTCAAGACTGGGTCAAAGTAAAGAAATAATTACTGTAATATTTGTGTTCTCAAATGTCATAATGTTTTATTTTGGAAAACTCTGATAGCTGACCTCGAGGAAGGGACACAAAGGGGCCATGTTCGTTTGTACATTTCCTTTTAGAAGTGAGGTGCTTCCTCTCCCTCTCAAAAGGATGTGTCTGGTCAGTCACCCAGGCATTTCTGGAGTGGACATGGCCAGGATCGTTCAGAAGTGGGGCAGAGAAGATGGTGACTATCCTACTAAATATCTTACTCAACGAATGTCTAACTTTGATTTGAAGAGTTGTATCACCAATTTTCTCCTTAAACAGGAAGTGCTCTGGAGCCCCAAGGAGTCCTCTTAAAGTGATGAGGTCCAAAAAGACTCTCAAAAGTGACTGAAGTCCTGCTGTGTGTGCCATGGCAGATTCATGTGGAGAGAATTGCTCTCCAAATGGGGACAAGAACTTTGTCCCTTGAGATGTTTTCCTCTCTGTGTCCACAGACTGAGTGCCTCCTCCTCCCATGTGTTGTCCTGGAGGCTTGTTTCTCTGCTATTAGCCCCCTTCATACTGTGTTATAATTGGTTGCTTATGCATTTTTCTTCCCTGCTAGACTTAAACAGAGTCTGTGGCATTTTCAAGGTTCATCCTAAGTACCTAGCAAAGACTGGCCCCATACAAGATGATTAAGCAATATTTTAACAACTCTTTCTGATCTCTGACCTTATGATTTCCTTGCTTTTTTGTACTATCTCTTATTGTTATTTTTCTTTTCCTGTGTACAGATTCTTAGAAAATCTGTGTCCATTGTAAAAATGTAAACTTTAAAGTTTCAGTTAGAATGGATAACTTTAAAAGAAATTTTAAAACAGAACTCTTCCTGTGGTGTTTTTGTTTTAGATTATGTAAAAAAAAAATGAAAAATGACTGCTGTTGAGTTAAAGTTCATATCCACTGTGAGAAGAAAAATTCAATGCTTATTTCTAGAAATGTTACAGATTATTCATCTCATATGAATATGAAGGACAAATCAGCACAGATAAAAACTAACAGCACAGGAAGAAACTTGCCCTGTCTGCGCTCTCTGGGTATTTATAGCACATTTGCCCCTCCTTGCCCCGGAAATTTTCCATAGGGTATTACCACAGCACTCAGTGAATTGCAAGTTGCTAATCACCCAACTGGAATGGAGAAATATCTTTTCTGCATATTCAGGAGAGATAAGACCAACATTCTTCATAATAATAAACTTTCATTAGAAACTAAGAGTAAATGAACAAAACAGAAATGAGCAAATTTACAGAGTAACTCCTAGAAGATGTCCTCTTTATGGTTAAACAATATTGGACCACTAGGTGCCTACACTTCATTCCACAGGCTTCTGGGGTTTCTCTCTCATATTCCCCAGGGACATATTCTATTACTGCATACACTTATGGGACATTAGAAGTGCTGTTATTTGACTATAAGAATCAGTGGTAGCAAAAGGACTTTCAGAATGGTGGAGGAAGGACCTCTGAAAAACTACTCATTCATAAAAACCCTGAAGACACTGGCAAAAATACCAAAATCAACTTTTTCAGAACTCTGGAAATTAACCAAAGGTTTGCAGCAATGTGTGAAGCATTAATTCCATACAAATGACTGAGTTTCATAAGGCCAGTGAACTTTATGGTATTGTAATGTTCCCCATTCTCATTCCCCTCTCCAGAGATCTGCAGTAATCTTGAAAACTGTATTAGTCCATTTTCATACTGTTGTAAAGATACTACCTGAGACTGGGTAATTTATAAACAAAGGAGGTTTAGTTGACTCACAGTTTCATATGACTGGGGAGCTGGAGAAACAGTCATGGCAGAAGGGGAAGCAGGCACCTTCTTCACACCTCAGCAGGAGAAACAGAAGCCAAGGGGGAAGAGCCCCTTATAAAACCATCAGATCTCGTGAGAACTCACTATTATGAAAACAGCATGGGGAAAACCGCCCCCATGATCTAACCACCTCCCACTTCTCACCTCAACACCTGGGTACAATTCAAGATGAGATTTGGGTGGGAACACAAAGCCAAACCATATAAAAAATCAATATCCTTGCAATGAATGTATCTGCAAAACACAGCAGAACAGAATCAGAATAAAGGTGGCAGAAAAGTTTGCAGCTTCCCTCTCAAGCCACCCAAACTTCATTTCCAGATAATCTTTATTTGACCTGAGTCAGAATTAACTCATTCTGAACAACTTTTTCCCTGGGAAAAACTGATTGAAAACAATCAATGGTGATTTTTTAATATCACAGCTATCTGTGGCAGGGACAATATTTGAGGCAAACAAGAGGCAGACTAAAAAAACTGTACAAACAAAAGCCGAAGATAAGATGCCCATGAGGGCTTTGAAATACTCTGATACAATCCTGGGAAACCACAAGGTGATGCACATGCCTACCCTAAAAAGTCACTCTCTCTCACCTCTGGCTGACCTTGAAGCAGAAATTAAAGGCTTAGGCAGTGTTGCAAACTGCCCAAGTATTGAATATGTGCTCTAACACACTTACACAAAGCCCACAGCAAGGTTGACAGACTTACTGGATCAAGGCATTTAATAAAATCTCTATTTCAGCAGCCACACGTATCAAAAAACTGAAATTTTACAGAATTAGTTTGGGAAAGTCACTAAACAAAAAAGCAGCAATAACAATAACAACAAACAACAATAATAACAAACCCTGGGGAAGAGATGAAATCTGATTTCTAGAGTTTCCATATCATATTAATTAAATGTCCAGTTTTCAACAGAAAATTATGAGACTTGCAAAGAAATAGGAAGTATGGCCCATACACAGGTTAAAAAGCGATCACTAGAAGCAATCACTGAAGAAGTCTAGATGTTTCATCTACTAAACAAATATTTTAAATCAGCTATTATTAATATGTTCAAAGAATAAAACCAAATGATATCTATGGAAATAGGGGAAAATATGAGCATAATGTCTCACCAAATAGAGAATACCAATAGATACAAGCTATAAAAAAGAAACAAAGAATTCTGGTGTTGAAAATTATAAGTTACTGAAGAAGTTTAATAGCAAGATTGAGCTGGTGGTAAAAGGAATCTGTGAATTTGAAGATAGGTCAATTGAAATTATCCAACGTAAAGAATAGAAATAAGGCCAGGCCTGGTGGCTCATGCCTGTAATCTCAGCACTTTGGGAGGCTGAGGCGGACAGATCATGAAGTCAAGAGATCAAGACCGTCCTGGCCAACATGGTGTAGCACCGTCTCTACTAAAAATACAAAAATTAGCTGGGCTTGGTGGCGCACGCCTGTAGTCCCAGCTACTCAGGAGACTGAGGCAGGACAATCACTCGAACCCCAGAGGCAGAGGTTGCAGTGAGCAGAGATCGTGCCACTGCACTCCAGCCTGGCAACAGAGTGAGACTCTATCTCAAAAAAAAAAAAAAAAAAGAATAGAAATAAAAAAGAATAAAGAATAATAAACAGAGCTTGATAAAGAGCAGCTACAAAAAAAAAAATACTTCTACAGCTAACCCCATACTTAATGATGACAAACTAGATGATTTCTTGCTAAAATTAGGAAAAGGCAAAGATACTTCTTCCATTACTCATTCAGTATTGTACTGGAAAGTCTATCTAGTGCAATAGGACAAGAAAAGGAAATAAAAATATACAGATCAGGAATAGAGAAATAAAAATCTCTTTGTTTGCAGATGAGATAATTGCCTAAGTAGAAAATGCCAAAGAATCCCCTCTCCCCCCAAAAAAAACTACCAAAACTAATAAGCAGTTATAGCAAGGTTGCAAGATACAAGGATAATATACAAAAGTCAATTGTTTTTTCATACATCATAAGTGAATAATTGGAATTTGAAAGCAAAAACCTAATGCCCTTACATTAGCAAGAAAAAGAGAGAAATAAGATACAAATCTAACAAAAGATGTTAGGTCCCTAAACTATATAAAAAAACTACAAAACTCTGATAAAAGAAATCAAAGAAGATCTAAATAAATGGAAAGATATTCTATGCATATGAAGAGAAAGATTCAATTTTGTTAAGATATCAGTTCTTCACAAGTTGATCTGAAGATTCAATGTAATCCTGATCAAAACCCCAATAAGTTATTTTGTGGATATTTACAAACTGACTAAAGTTTATGAGGAGAGGCAAAAGACCCCAAATAACTAACATGATATTGAAGGAGAAGAACAAAATCACGGGACTGACTCTATCCAACTTCAAGGTATACTATCAAGCTATAGTAACCAAGACAGTGTAGTGCTGGCAAAATAATAGACAAATAGATCAAAGAAACAAAATAGATAGCCTAGAAATAGACGCACACATACAAAGTCAACTGCTCTTTGATAAGGAGACAGAGGCAATTCAATGGACAAAGCATGATCTTTTAAACAAATGGAACTGGAATATCCACATGCCAAAAAAACCCCCAAAACATCCTAGACACAGATCATCCTACATCTTTCACAAGCATTCACTAAAATGAACTCAAAATGAATAATAGACTTCACTATAAAAAGTGAAAGTATAAAACTATAAGAAAACATAGGAGAAAATCTAGGTGGCCTTGGGTTTGGTGATGGTGTTTTAGATACAGCACTAATCATGATTCAAAAAAAAAAAGGTAAGTTGGTCTTCATTAAAATTAAAAACTTCTGCACTGTTAAAGACACTTAAGAAAATGAAAAGATGAACCACAGATTGCAAGAAAAACTTTGTGAAGTACATATCTGATAAAGCGTTGGTATCCAAAATATACAAGGATACCCATTAAAAAAATAAGTCAGTTAAGCTGGAAACCATCATTCTCAGCAAACTAACACAGGAACAGAAAACCAAACATCGCATGTTCTCACTCATAAGTGGGAGTTGAACACTGAGAACACATGGACACAGGGAGGGGAACAACATACACCAGGACCTGTTGGGGGGTGGGAAGCGAGGGGAGGGAACGTAGAGGATGGATCAAGAGGTGCAGCAAACCACCATGGCACCCGTATGCCTATGTAACAAACCTGCACATTCTGCACATGTATCCTGGACCTTAAAGTAAAATAAAATAAAATTTTAAAATAAGCAAAATATTTGAACAGATATCTCAGCAACGATGATATACAGATGACAAGTAAGCAGACGAAAAGGTGCTCAACATCATATGTCATTGGAGAATTGAAAATTAACACAACAATGAGATACCATTATACACCAATTAGAATAGCTACAACCTAAAACATTGACATCCCTAAATGCTGGTGAGGATGTAGAGTAACGGGAACTCTCATTTATTGCTTGTGGTGTGCAAAATAGCCACTTTGGAAGACCATTTGCCAGTTTCATAGAAAAATAAACACACTCTCACCATATGATTCAGTGATTGTTCTCTTTGGTGTTTATTCAAATGAGTTGAAAATTTATGTCCACATAAAAATTTGCCCACAAATATTTATAGCGTCTTTATTCATAACTGTCAAGACTTGAAAGCAACCAAGCTGTGCTTCCATAGGTTAATAGGTAAACAAGCTGTGAACATTCATACAATGAAATATTATTTACCAATAAACAAATGAGGTATCAAGCCACAAAAAGACATGAAGAACAAGCAATGCATATTGCTCAGTGAAAGAAGCCAATTTCAAAAGGCTACATACTATATGAATCCAACTATAGTATTCTAGCAAAGCCAAAACTAAAAACAAAACAATCAGTGGTCATGAGGGCTTTGGGAGAGAGGAGGAATGAATAGGTAGATCACAGGGTATTTTTAGAGCAGTGAAACTATTTTGTATGATACTGTGATGGTGAATACATGTCCTTAAACTGTTTTAAAATCCATAGAATGTTGAATACAAGAATGAATCCTAATGCAAACTATGGGCTTTAATTAATAATCATGTATCAGTATTAGCTTACCAATTTTAACAAATGCACTACACTAACGCAAGATATTCACAATAGAAGAAACTGCATGTGAAAGGGGGATTAAGGGGAAAATGGAAGCTCTGTATACTTTCCACTCAATTTTTCTGCACATCTAAAACATAAATCTATTAATCTGAAAAAATGAACAAAACCTCAGAGACCTGTGAAAATCATCAAACCAAAATGCACATAATGTGAGCCCCAGAAGAGAAGAGAGAGAAAGCAGCAGAAAGAATATTTGGGAAAATAATGTCCAAATATTTACCAAAGTTTATGAAAAACAATCTACACAGGCAAAAAAAGCTAAATTATTCCATTTCTGATTCTTCTGCAAAAGAGACATAGAAGTGGCCAATAAGCACATGCAAAAATGTTCAACATCATTATTCTTTAGGGAAATGCAAATCAAAACCACAATGAGAAACTACTTCATACCCACTGGGATGGCTAAACTAAAAGGCAGTAATACGTTGGGAAAGACATGGAAAAATTGAAGCCCTCATACACTGCTGGTAGGATTGTAAAATGGTACAGGTATTTTGGCAAACATAAACATTTTGGCAGTTTCTAGAAATAGTAAGCATTGAGTTAGCAAACGATTCAGTATTCTTCTCCTAGGTATTTTAAAAGATATATCCACATAAAAACTTGCACAATCATGTTCATAGCAGCATTACTTCTAATAGCCAAAAAGTAGAAACAATCCATTTATCCAACAACTGACATATGGATTAATAAAATGTGACATATTCATATAATCAGATACTATTATATGATAGTATATAAAGAAAGTACTAATACCTGATACAACATGTAGGAACCTTGAAAGTAGTATGCTAAGTGAAAGAAGCCAGTCATAAAGGACCATATATTGCATGGTTTCATTCATATAAAATGCCTAGTTTAGGCAAACCTATTGACATGGAAAGTAGATTCATTTTGCTGAGGGATGGGGGTTGAAGAAAAATGGGGAGTGACTGCTAATTGTTACAGGGATTCTTCTGGGGATAATAAAAATGTTCTAAAATTGATTTTGGTGACAGTTGCACAACTCTGAGTGTGCTTAAAACCATTGACATACACTCTAAATGAGTCCATTTTATAGTATATGAATTATATCTCATTAAAGCTGTTTCTAAAAGAAAGGATTGGCTGTGGACTGGGGTTCTTATATAGGGGAAAAGAAGAGTAAATAAAGAAACTTCCGTTTCAAGGTCTATTTGTATCTGTCTAGTTCTTTTCTCCTTCCCTTTCTCCTTGTTTGCCTCTTCCCTTTTCCTTTCTCTTCTTCCTCCTCCTCTTCCTGTTCTTTCTTCCTCTCCTCCTCCCTCTCCTCTTCTTTTCCTACATATTTCAAACCCAAAATAATACAGTAAATGAACTTGTATAGAACTCCATCTAAAACTTTCTCTAGTTAACCAAACTAATTCCTAATTCTTTTAATATTAATTTATGATCTCCCACTTCTTATGTGTTCTATAAGCAGCCGGTAAATAAAATCATTCTTAGCACTTATATATAATATTGTCATATATTATTGAAATAATTTATTTAGTATTTTATCATTCTTGATAGAGTTTAACCCCCACCCCTCTCCAAGGGCTGGAATATATGATTATATTCCTGACATTTAGTAGGTATTGAACAAATGTCCATTGATTGGCACCAGAATCTTAGAACCTTAGTTACTCACTTAGTGGATTTCCATTTTACCTCCAGTTATGGTCTAGATTATAAAAGTTTAACATTAAAAATTTACTAGCCAGGCGCAGTGGCTCATGCCTGTAACCCCAGCACTTGGCGGGGGGCTGAGGTGGGGCATATCATGAGGCCAGGAGTTAGAGACCAGCCTGACCAACATGGTGAAACCCCGTCTCTGCTAAAAATACCAAAATCAGCTGGGTGTGGTGGTGCACACCTAAAATCCCAGCTACTCAGGAGCCAAGGCAGGAGAATTTCTTGAATCCGCGAGGCAGAGGTTGCAGTGAGCCAAGATCGCACCACTGCACTCCAACCTGGGCGACAGAGTGAGACTACGTCTCAAAACAAAACAACAACAAAAAGTAGCAGAACTAAGGACTTCATAAAATCTCTATTAGACAGGCTCTGACTGCTTGGAGAAGGAACTGTGCCCTATTTCCTTGTTTTCTCCACAAGATCTGTAACATGTGCTCCTTCAACCTTTGTTTGTTAATTTTTCCAAAGCTAATAAGAAGCATATCAAAGACTCTGGAATAATGGTAAACCCACTGGCACGATCTTAGTTTTGTTTGAATGTAGATGATTCACTTATAATAGAATTTCTTTTTATAGGAAGACAAATTTACATCATGTTGATCAAGTTTTTGTAATCATGTCTGTAGAGATCATATCTTTTGAACTTTCTGTGTTCAAATACCAGCTCTAGCAGTGGGACCTTCGGCAAAGCAATCGCTTCATTCCTCAGTTTCTCCATGTGTATAGAGGGGGATGATATTATTATCAACCTCATCAGATTATTGAAAGTCCTAATGAACTAATACACATTGATGTGTCTGGCACATAGTAGGTGGCCAATAGTTGTTTGCTATCATCATTGCAGTCAAGCAGTACTCTGTGTAAATACTGAGACTAGAACTTCCTATGGAGAAATGTTAAATAATGTGGATGAGGAGCTTGTACCACATTGTGATCACAGAGCTCTACACACTTTATCTCATTTGATTGTTCCAGTAACTCTTAGGAGGTAGAATAGGCAGGAATTATTTATTAGTATACTCACTTTATAGATTTGGAAACCGACCTTAGTTAACTGACCCCATAGCTCTTCAGGAACTAGGCAATTGGTTTATTTGAACTACATCCTGAAGAAAAACGAGTGCTGATAAAAATCACCTGTTTTGTTTTTATTTGGCCGAAGTTCTTACACTGAGTTTGAAACACTCTTGCCATGGCTTCAGGGGTGTGATATTTCAGTTTTCTATATCTTCTTTCAGTTATTTATGCTCTTATATACTCAGTCTTTTCCCCCTTCTTTTGCCAGTTATAGAAAAAGGAATAAATGGATAAAACAAAACTGTATGCTTCTCAGGTTCAGGAATCACTGGCTTCCAGGTATCTCTAGCCACGGTACCTTTGTTAATAAGTATCATGCAGCCCCTCTGTGCCTCAATTTCCCATCTGTAACATGGGAATAACAATAGTCACCTCTGTGGGTTTCCTAAGTGCTGAATTAATACAAAGTACCTAGAAGAGCGCCGAGCAGAGTGAGCGTTCAGACAGCATTGCTGGAATCTTGAGGCCAGCACCCTCCAGAGAGGCACCTGGCTTCAGGGACTCCTTCAGGCCACCCCTCCTTTGCTCTCAGTTTCCTACCGGTGCTCTTCATGTATGTCATTGAAAATTGCAAACGACTCCTGGCTTGAAGCAAAGGGTAAAAGAAGAAAGCGATCAAAGGGAAAACAAAGCAAGGAAAAGAAACGGTGAGGTAGACATGCCTTGGTGAAGGACAGGAAGGTGAGAGGAGGCGTTGAAGGGACATAGGAATAGGAAAGTCTTAGGAAGAAACCAACTAGAATCCCTGTTGAATTTAAAACACATTTCCCTCCCTTATCCTTTTTCTTTATCATTTTAATGGGCAACATAAAGACTTTTGGTAACACTTCTCATTTTTGCTATAAAATTATGAGTATGCATTGTGTGTACGTGAGGTCAAAATTATTCCATTTTTTAAAGGTCAATTATCTTTAGGCATAAGGAGACAAACACTAAACACATCCAGGTATATGCACTGCAACAAAGACTTGAATTCACAAGAGTAAGAAAATTAAGCCTCTGGGGAAAATTAGCACACTGAGCCACTGTTGTATCTCACTTTGCTGTATGAAACTATTTCTCATTTCTGTTATGTTCCATGCCACTGTGTAGACTCTTAAATATTTTGAATGGTTACTGGTTAATATTTAGACATCAGTGCTTCCAATCCTTTCTCTTTCTTCACAGTATCCTTTCTTTTTCTTCACAGTATCTAAAACAAGCTTCTCTTTCATAGAAATCCTTTCTCTTTCTTCACAGTATCTAAAACAAGTTTCTCTTTCATAGAAATATGTTATGCCTATTAGTTAAGTAAAACTTTTGTGTTTCGAGGGAATGAGTAGAACAAGCTTTTTGAGCCACCACAAGATGATTTATATGTTTTATTCTAAAAAACATTCCTGGCTGGGTGCCGTGGCTCACGCCTGTAATCCCAGCACTTTGAGAGGCTGAGGCAGGTGGATCACCTGAGGTCAGGAGTTCGAGACCAGCCTGGCCAACATGGTGAAACTCTGTCTCTACTAAGTATACTAAAATTAGCTGGGCGTGGTGGTGGGCACCTGTAATCCCAGCTACTCAGGAGGCTGAGGCAGGAGAATTGCTTGAACCCAGGAGGAAGAGGTTGCTGAGCCAAGATCACACCACTGCACTCCAGCCTGGGCGACAGAGGGAGACTCCATCTCAAAAAATAAATAAATAAATAAATAAATATACATAAAAAACATTCCTATGTGCTTGAACATTATTTAAATAGCGTAAAATTTCTGAACTCTAAACTAGGCTGCCACCATTGACTCTTCAGGGTCACCATCCTGTCTTTGATGTCTTCCTCAAACTAAGTAGACCTGGTGTGTTCTTACGCCTAATGAGAGGGGTGAGAATTACTGCATGAAGTAATTAGTAGGGAGACAAAGTTAATGTACAGAGATGAAATCATAATACAACATTTATCATGTAAAGTCTAGAGCCGGGACTCATTCAACCTGCCCCAGATAAGCAAATGTCTTTAGAGAAGAGAGTGAAGAATTTAAAATGTATCCATACCTTGGAACCAACGACAGGATCTGGAGTGCTTCCAGATCATTTAATTTAAAAATACGACTGACCCCAAATAACACTGGTTTAAACGACCTGGGTCCACTTTTAGGCAAATCTTCTTCCACCTCTGCCACTCTTAATATAGCAGGACCAACTCCTGTTCTTCCTCTTCCTCCTTGGCCTACTCAACATGAAGATGACAAGGATGAGGAGCTTTATGATGGTCCACTTCCACTTAGTGAAGAGTAAATATATTTCCTCTTCCTTACAATTTTCTTAATAACAGTTTCTTTTCTCTGGCTTACTTTATTGTAGGAATACAGTATAAATACATATAGCATACAAAATATGTGTTAATTGACTATGTTATTGGTAAGGCTTCAGTCAACAGTAGGCTATTAGTTAAATTTTGGTGGAGTCAAACATTATATGAGGATTTTTGTGCAGGGTTTGGCAATATTAACCCTTGTTTTGTTCAAGTGTCAACTCTACACATTGTCTAAAATTTTTGGCTTTAAACTGGTTGCATCTTAGCCTAATATTTTCCTTTAACTACATTAGATATATGACAAGTCACAGAAATAATTCTTTATTCTCTTTATAATTGTAAAAATTGCGCTGTGTCTTAATGAAAAATTAAATTCATACAACTTGATACAAGTTTGTTGTATTCGTGTGTGTGATGTATTTATAATTAAACATCACAGATAACTGTGAGCTCCGTATTTTGCTTAATAAAATGTTAAAATTCCCAAATTAACCCGAGATTGATAACAGCCATAATTCAGTACTTGCTGTTTTCTAGTTGCTTGGACATACCTACACTGTGCACATGCTCCCAAAAAAGGTGGAAGCTTTTTTGTACCTATGGTATGATTCCCAGTGGAAACAATGCAAGAACATGTGATTTGGTAGCACATTGAATGGAAATCTTCAAAGTTTTACAGTAAGGGCCTGATGAGAGAACTCGATGCTGTTTTGTTTATTAATCTGAAGAAGCGAAAGAAGTGCCATCCCAAAATATGCGAGATTGGTATATTGACTATTTCGAGTTGAATACATTGAAGAAATTGTAGTTTCAGTAAGGGCTAGCTGGCCTTCTCTTCCTACATGTAGCAAGCCATAAGGATTCCCCTGGCAGGGGTACCTCCTCCTCTCCATACAAGGGTGAGGAAATAGCCTGATCACAAGAGACAGGGAATTAAGGGCTGCAATGGACCTGAATAAATGCACTTAATGAAGTAATCCTTATTTTCCACTAGTTTTACATACAACCCCACCCCCACCTATATCTTCTATTTCCCAAGAAATTTACTGCCCCAGCCTGATTTTCTTTGTCCTGTAATTTTTTTCTCAAATTCATCATTCTTTGTCTAAAAAGTATAAAACAAATTGTTTTGGCCACTTCTTCAGCTTCAATTCTCATGTTAAGATCTCCACATTCATGGAAAACTAATAAAATGTGTTTGCTTTTTTCTTGTTAATCTGCCTCATGTCAATTTGGTTTCTAGATCCAGTTGAAGAGCCCACTGAGAGCTAAAGGGGGTTGGAGGTAATCTCTAGTTCCCTTACAGATCAGTTACAAGTTCTAACTCTAACAGGAGAAAGTGTTTTCCCATTAAGAGAACTGGGTATATATTTAGGAATGACTTACATAAGCAAAAACTGGTTAAAGTACCATTTTCATATAAAGCATGCACTTTAATACCAGTCCAATGATTATAAATTCAAGGTTTTAGTATCTGCAGTAAAATAGTCAGTGTATCTGAATGGAAGGAGTGGGCAAGAATCGGGGAAGGAATATGTCACAGAATAGAATGCAGGCGGGACGTGTTTTCTATTTCTTCCTCTCGATTGCATCTCTTCATGCTGGTAGTTAAGGTTTTCCTACTTTGGCTCCAGCATCTGCAGAGGTTCCAGCTGATGGGTTCCTGCTCTGGTAAGTTGTGATCCTCTGTATTCACCTGTCAGTTTCTCCTGTTTTAGGGGTAGCAGTTTTCACTGTGACTTCACTTCTTTTATGGATCTAAGAAGACCTGTTGCTTTTTCAGTTTATTCAGCATTTTCTTTGTTGATAGGACAGTGGTGACTTCCAAGCTTCTTACCTGCTAGACTGAACACCACTCTTCAGGCTTATAGGAAGAGTGATTTTGAGCCTACCTATGAGCTACGAGTTCATTGCTCCATGTTAGCAAGAGAAAGTGTAGTTTGACTGGTAGTCACATTTGTGAAGAATCTGGAAGATCTGTGCCTGGGTGCAAGGTGCCTCACATGGAAGTCTCCTTCCCGCCCTCCAGGGATGAAGAGTGCCCTACACCCTCCCAAGCTGTGGCTAGAATCTCGTTGGTATTGCAGAGAGGTAGAAAAGAGAAGTGGGACTGAGACAGAAAAGATGTTTCTAGATGTTTGGGGCATGTACTCGAAGAGGCCCAGAGCAAAAATTGAGAAAGGTGTGTTTGAAAAGGACTATTAGTAAATGTTTTCTCCCTAGAAACAGATTATACTTCTACATACTTCAAAAAATTACAGGATACAATAGAGGGGTACAAAATAAAGTCTGAAGTGGTTTTCAAATGTGAATATACTTGAGATTTATTTTCTCCTAAAGTTTTCCTTGTAAAATCCAATCTCAAAAGAAGAAAATCCACCTAAAGATCCTGTATCCCACTGAACTAAACTGTAAAAAACAAAAAATTATTTTAGGTGCATGTCTCCAACTTAGTCCCAGTTTATAGGAAATCTTGTTAAAATTTCCAGCAGAGGAGAATATTGTGAACTTGGCCCAAATCCTGCTACTTGGGGTGTAGCCCGGAAACAGCTGCTCGGGTAGTTGTTCCCCTCCCTGCTGCTTTTCCCTCATTCACAGTCCTGGGGTTTTGCTAAATGCCGCCCATAGAACAAAATTATCTCAGTGCTGGTTGCCAACCAAAGAAAGACAGTTAGCTGATTAAACAAAGCAGAAGATGCCTGCCTTCCTTCCTAAAGGTGTCAAATCAATAGCTTTTTTTTTTTTTTAAGGAATAACAAATAGTAGAGGGCATACAGCAGTTGGTGAGTAGAAACCACAGATTCCATCTTGAAATCTTTGTTGTTTTTGCAGGGATGCCGAGGACAGTGGGGGCACCTTGGGACCTGGCCTGGGCTCCAGCTGCTCATCGCTTTCCAGGTTCTGATTCCCATCTAGCTGAACCTACCTGTCCCCCTTGATCACTCTCTGCCACCCCCATTGTAAATATATTTCCCTCTCCCTCTCAGTTAAATATGGTCCAAATTGAACTTGTCATTTTTACCCTTCAAGTCCTACTTTATAACAAACAAAAATTTCTACTGGCAATCCAGCCTTCCCTGGGGCTGCCCAGCTGCCATTGGGGTGATGAGGGTGTTTCCTGCAGCTGAAGTCTCTTCTAATTAGCAAGCCCCTCAGGCAGTCTGGACTCTGAATTTAGCTGCCATCTGGTATCATCTGTAAATGACAATAGCACTGTATCTTCTCCTTTGCCTCAGCCCTTCCTGCACTACGCATTCCCATTCCAAGCAACCCTGGAAAAGATTTCACTGCCTAGCTTCCTTGTCAGTTCCTAAGTATCAAGGCACCCTGGGCTCTGGTTAATTTGGGAAGTTCTAAACAAGGTCGAGGCAAATGAGAGCCAGGAGTTTCCAGAACCATCAAGAGGATACAGCCAAAGACCACAGTGGGCCGAGTAGCATCTCCCGGCCCTCTGTACCAACGTTTCTCAAAGTACAGCTTCCAGAATAGTGGTACTGGAATTATCTAGGAACTTGATAGAAACACAAATTCTCAGGCCCCAGCCCAGACCAACAGGCAGAAAGTCTGGGGAGGGGCCCAGCAATCTGCATTTTATCAAGCCCTCCAGATCCTTCTGATAGAAGCTACAGTTTACCCGGCCGCTGTCCTTGGCTTCTCACTGGTGCACTGTTGACATTTTGGGAAGGTAATTCTTTGTTGTGTGAGCTGTCCTCTGCATTGCAGGATGTTTAACAGCATCCCTGGACTCTACCCACTAGATTCTAGACATATCCCCTCAGTTCTGACCATCCAAAATGTCTCCAGACAATGCCAAATGTTCCCTGGCAAAGCCACCCCCACTTGAGAAACAGCCATTCGCTACAGGTTCTATTCTAATTGCTTAGTGCTATTTGACCAATGATTGCTGATGTGAAAAAGTCTGTATACAATGGAATGCTGTGTATGCAGTGCTTTTCAAGCTTTAATGTGCATACAAGTCACCTGGGGATCTTGTTAAAACCTGTTCTGATTCAGGAAATCTGAATTGGATTTTAAGACCGTGCATTTTTAACAAGCTGAAAGTGATGCCCATGTTGCTGCTCTGCAGACTACACTTTGATTAACAAGGTCCTACAGGATCCCGAAAGATTTATTGAATGAAGGATGAATGAATAATTAAAAGCTAAGGATTCCTTTTGTGGAATGGGTAGGAATTTTTCCCTTTGTCACTGAACTCCCCATCTCCAATTTTTTTTTCCTTATTCCTATGTTTTCATATTAAGAAAGATCAACTTTATTATAGTAAAGATAGCTTTATATACAAAAAGTACCAAGGATCTTTGCATATGAATCGTACCATATTTAGAGATACACAAAAATAAACACCCAAAATTCATTGACTAGCCAGTGAAAGATAGGCCATGCGACTGTTAAGTCCTAATTCACTCAACTAATATCTTTTCAATACTTTCTCTGTGCAGAGCATGCTACTCAATTGCTCATTAAAAAAACATATGTATGCAACTTGCATTAAATGAATACCTATAGCTGTATGCTTTCACCATATATATTTTCAAAATGATGTAAAAATCAAGTTTGCTGGGAGAGGCAAATGCCTTTTGGCCAAAAATACACATAAAAGAGAGAATTAGCCAACAGGGCTAAGTTGTTTTCATTGTCATCTCAGTTACTGAGAAACTGGTTTCAAATGATCTTCTATCACCATAGGAGAATGATAGCATTTGCAACTGCTGAAGTGGCAGGGTAATTTCCTTCTAGAGCTAATGAATAGCTGGTGCTTTCTTTGTTTCTCAGTTAATCCATTGGCAGATGTGGCTCTGAGGTACAAAGATGTCTTAAAACCTTGGGGATTGAAAGCTGGCCTTTTTTTTTTTAGAAGTTCAAGAGTTATTTTTTTTTCTCTGAAACTGGGAAAACAGACTGGCACACTATGAAATATTTCTGTATACAAAATGACATTGTGTGATAGATAATAGGGAAAATATTAAATTTGACATGCTGTTTTGCTTAAGACAGAACAATGTGGGATGCCTCAATTTCAAAAACACACGAATGAGCTCAATGGGCTCATTTTCATTGCAGTATCCCATCATGCCACTGCCCTTCAATTTAAATTGTGCTTGTGTTGCCAATAAATCACTGGTCATAGATGAATATATTATAGTTAAAGTGCACTCTTTTTAGAAGCACATGCATTCTCATTTCACAATGTGTGTTGGAGACTTACTAAGTGTTCAGCAAGCCTGTTTCCCCTCCCTCCTGGGCACAAAGATGATATTTCCCAGTCTTCTTGCAGTTAGGTATGACCATGTAACTGATTTCTGCTCATTGTTGGTAAAACAGACGGGTTCCAGCTTCATAGGTGGCCCATGAATTCTCCCCATGCATAATCCTCCGTGCTGTTATGGCTCCTACTGGCTCAATGCAGATGAGCACAGTGACCTTGGAAGCCATGGTTTGAAGATGGAGAAACCAGCATATGAAAAATTGAATTGAAATTCTTGGTCCCTGTTTGAAGGGAGCTGTCTACTCACTAATCAGGAGCATTTGCTTTGGTCTTTACAAAAGTGAGAAACAAAATTTTCTCCTGCATGAACCAATATACATTTTTAAAAAAATTCATTTGTTTTAACTGTTAGCATTACCCAAATTAATATACGATGTATTTCTCGTGTATAATTGGTTACCCCCAGCCGAGATTCCCTCTTTCTATCCTAGATTCTGCTGCTACATGTTGAATTTGGTTCTTCCTCCTCCTTTGTTGCAGGTCCTAAATCATCATCACCTTCCTGTAGGTCCTTATCATTGTTCTATACTTACCGGCCCTACCTACTTGTAGGCACCTCTTTAATTATCATCTTATTTTAGAGCTCACTGGTGGTCAGGTGTGTAATGAGGTCAGAGGGAGGGAAAAGGCAATATAAAACATTACTTCACTACTCCTATTCCTAATCTGTTTGTTAATCTTTCCTCCTTCCCTTCCTCTATCTCCCTAACTTTTATCCTCCTTTGATTCTTTTCCTATTTGTCATTATTTCCTAGAATTTCTATTCTTATTTCTCGCTATGTCAGAGCCTCATTCTCTGCTTTCTATTGTATAGTCTTAACTCCCTCTGCTCCGCTAGCCTCTGGTTGTAGCATGGCCCCTCCGTCATGGGACATCTCCTCATATGGATGTATAATTTTAGATGTAACAGAGGGTACAAATGTGGGGAGATGGCATAGAGCATAGAATGAGGAGAAAAAATCCCGAGGCACTTCACTGAGGGCAATTTTGGGACATGGAAGCCAATAAATTGTTTAAAGAAGAGGGGAACAATCATGTTGAATGTAGCTGAGATGTCAACCATGATAGGAAAACGTCCTTTATGCTTGGCAATTCTGAGAGGTATTCAGATGAGACAATCAGGAA